>NC_000022.11:11210921-11378056 GCF_000001405.40 Homo sapiens | reverse complement strand
GAATTCATCTCACAGAGTTAAACCTTTCTTTTGATTGAGTTGTTTTGAAACTCTCTTTTTGTAGTATCTTCACGTGGACATTTGGAGTGCTTAAATGCCTGTGGTGGAAAAGGAAATATCTTCATGTAAAAACTAGACAGAAGAATTCTGAGAAACTTCTTTGTGATAGGTGTGTTCATCTCACAGAGTTGAATCTTTCTTTTCATTGAGCCGTTTGGAAACACTCTTTTTGTAGAACCTGCAAGTGAATATTCAGAGCGCTTTGGGGCCTATAGTAAAAAAGGAAATATCTTCACATAAAATCTAGACAGAAGCAATCTGAGAAACTTATTTGTGAAATGTGCATTCATCTCACAGAGTTAAATCTTTCTTTTGATTGAGGAGTTTGGAAACTCTCTTTTTGTAGAATCTGCAAGTGGACATTTGGAGTGCTTTGTGGCCTAAGGTAGAAAAGGAAATATCTTCACATAAAATCTAGACAGAAGCAATCGTAGAAACAGCTTTGTGATGTGTGCATTCATCTTACAGAGTTAAACCTTAATTTTGATCGAGCAGTTTTGAAACTCTCTTTTTGTAGAATCTGCAAGTGGACATTTGGAGCGCTTTGTGGTTTATGGTAGAAAAGGAGACATCTTCAGATAAAATCTAGATAGAAGCAAACTGAGAAACTTCTTTGTTATGTGTGCATTCACCTCACGCAGTTAAAACTTTCTTTTGATTGAGCAGTTCTGAAACTCTCTTTTTGTAGAATCTGCAAATGGCCATCTGGAGCACTTTGAGGACTATGGTGGAAATGGAAATATCTTCACATAAAAACTTGACAGAAGAATTCTGAGAAACTTCTTTGTTATGAATGCATTCATCTCTCAGAGTTGAAACTTTCTTTTGATTAACCAGTTTGGAAAGATTCTTTTTGTAGATTCTGCAAGTGGCATTTGGATTTCTTTGCCCCCTAATGTAGAAAAGGAAATATCTTCACATAAAATCTAGACATAAGTAATCTGAGAAATTTCTTTGTGATGTGTGCATTCATCTCACAGAGTTAAACCTTTCTTTTGATGGAACAGTTTTGAAACTCTATTTTTATAGAATCTGCAAGTGGACATTTGGAGCACTTTCAGGCCAATGGTGGAAAAAGAAATATCTCTCATAAAAACTAGACAGAAGAACTCTTAGAAACTTCTCTCTGATGTGTGCATTCATCCCACAGAGTTCAACGTTTCTTTTGATTGAACAGTTTGGAAACACTCTTTTTGTAAAATCTGCAACTGGACATTTGGAGCGCTTCGCGGTTTATGGTAGAAAAGGAAATATGTTCATATAAAATCTAGACAGAAGAAATCTGGGAAACTTCTTTGTGATGTGTGCATTCATCTCACAGAGTTAAACGTTTCTTTTGATAGAGCAGTTTCAAAACTCTGTTTTTGTAGAATCTGCAAGTGGACACTTGCAACTCCTTGAGGCGTATAGTGGAAAAGGAAATATCTTCACATAAAAACTAGACAGAAGAATTCTGGGAAACTTCTTTGTGATGTGTGCATTCATCTCACAAAGTTGAAACTTTCTTTTGATTTAGCAGTTTGGAAGCACTATTTTTGCAGTGTCTACAAGTGGGCATTTGCAGCGCTTTGCTGCCTAAGGTAGAAAAGGAAATATCTTCACTTAAAATCTAGAAAGAAGCAATCTGAGAAACTTCTTTGTGATGTGTGCATTCATCTCACAGAGTTGAACATTTCTTTTGATTGAGCAGTTAGGAAACACTCTTTTTGTAGAATCTGCAAGTGGAGATTTGGAGCACTTAGCAGCCTATGGTAGGAAAGGAAATATCTTCACGTAAAATCTAGACAGAAGCAATCTGAGAAACTTCTTTGTGACGTGTGCATTCATCTCACAGTGTTAAACCTTAGTTGTCATTGAGTAGTTTTGAAACTCTCTTTTTGTAGAATCTGCAAATTGACATTTGGAGGGCTTTGAGGGCTATGTTGGAAAAGGAAATATCTTCACATAAAAACTAGACAGAAGAATTCTGACAAACTTTTTTGTGATGTGTACATTCATCTCCCAGAGTTGAACCTTTATATTGATTGAGCAGTTTGGAAAAACTCTTTTTGTAGAATCTGCAAGTGGATATTTGGAGCGCTTTGTGGCCTATGGTAGAAAAGGAAATATCTTCACATAAAATCGAGAAAGAAACAATCTGAGAAACTTATTTGCAATGTGTACATTCATCTCACAGAGTTGAAGCTTTCTTTTGATTGAGCAGTTTGGAAACACTCTTTTTGTAAAATCTGCAGGTGGACATTTGGAACGCTTTGTGGCCTATGATAGAAAAGGAAATATCTTCGTATCACAAAGAGAGAGTTTTAAAACTGCTCAAACTAAAGAAAGGATCAACTCTCTGTGATGAACGCACACATCAGAAAGACGTTTCTCAGAATTCTTCTGTCTAGTTTTTATGTGAAGATATTTCCTTTTCCACTGCAGGCCTCAAACCGCTCCAAATATCCTCTTGCAGATTCTACAAAAAGACAGTTTCAAAACTGCTCACTCAAAAGAAAGTTTTAACTCTGTAAGATGAATGCACACATCACAAAGTAGTTTCTCAGATTGCTTCTGTCTATAATTTATGTGAAGACGTTTCCTTTTCTACCATAGGCCCCAAAGCGCTCCAAATGTCCATTTGCAGATTCTACAAAAAGAGTGTCTCCAAATTGCTCAATCAAAAGTAATGTTCAACTCTGTGAGAAGAAGGTCCGCATCACAAAGAAGTTTCTCAGAATTCTTCTGTCTACATTTTATGTGAGGATATTTCCTTTTCCACAGCAAGCCTCAAAGTGCTCCAAATGTCCACTTGCAAATTCTACAAAAAGAGAGTTTCCAATCTGCTCCATCAAAAGAAAACTTCAGCTCTGTGAGATGAATGCACACATCACAAAGGAGTTTCTCAGATTGCTTCTGTCTAGACATTATGTGAAGATATTTCCTTTTCCAACATAGGACTCAAAGTGGTCCAAATGTCCACTTGTAGATGCTACAAAAGAGAGTTTCAAAACTGCTATATCAAAAGAAAAGTTTAACTCCATGAGATGAATACACATATCTCAAAGAAGTTTCTCAGATTGCTTCTGTCTAGATTTTATGTGAAGATATTTCCTTTTCTACCATAGTCCGCAAAACTCTCCAAATGTCCACTGGCAGATTCTACAAAAAGAGTGTTTCCAAACTGCTCAATTGAAAGAAAGGTTCAACTATGTGAAATGAATGCACACATCACAAAGTTGTTTCTCAGAATTCTTCTGTCTAGTTTTTATGTTAAGATATTTCCTTTTCCACCACACGCCTCAAAGTGCTCCAAATATCCACTTGCGGATTCTACAAAAACAGATTTTCAAAACTCCTCAATCAAAAGAAAAGTTTATTTCTGTGAGACGAATGTCCACATCACAAAGAAGTTTCTCAGATTGCTTCTGTCTTCTTTTTATGTGAAGATATTTCCTTTTCCACAGTAGGCCTTAAAACCTTCCAAATATCCATTTGCAGATTCTACAAAAAGACAGTTTCAAAACGGTTCACTCAAAAGAAAGTTTTAACTCTGTGAGAGGAATGCACACATCACAAACTAGTTTCTCAGATTGCTTCTGTCTACAATTTATGTGAAGATGTTTCCTTTTCTATCATAGGCCCCAAAGCACTCTAAATGTCCACTTGCAGATTCTACAAAAAGAGAGTTTCAAAACTGCTCAATCAAAAGAAAGGTTAACTCTGTGAGATGAATGCACACATCACTCAGAAGTTTCTCACATTGCATCTGTCTAGATTTTATGTGAGGGTATTTCATTTTCTACCACAGGCCACAAAGCTCTCCAATGCTACAAAAAGAGTTTCAAAACCGCTCTATCAAAAGATAGGTTCAAATCTGTGAGTTGAATGCACACATAACAACGAAGTTTGCTGGAATACTTCTGTGTAGTTTTATCTGAAGATATTTCCTTTTCCAAAATTGACCTCAAAGCCCTTGAAATATCCACTTCCAGATTCTACACAATAGTGTTTCAAAACTACTCAGTCAATAGAAAGTTTCAACTCTTTGTGATGAATGCACTCATCACAAAGAATTTCCCCAGAATGGTTCTGTGTAGTTTTTTTTTTTTTTTTGAAGATATTTCCTTTTCCACTATAGGGTGCAAAAGGATCCAAATATCCACTTGCAGATTCTACAGAAAGAGAGAGTCAAAACTGCTGAATCAAAAGACAGGTTCAACTCTGTGAGTTGAATGCACACATAACAAGAAATTTCATAGAATGCTTCTGTGTAGTACTTATGTGAAGATATTCCCTTTTCCACAACAGGCCTCAAAGCTCTCCAAATATCCACTTGCAGATTCTACAAAAAGAGTGTTTCAAAACTGCTCAATCATAATATAGGTTCAACCCTGTGAGATGAATGCACATATCACAAAGAAGTTTCTCAGAATGCTTCTGTGTACTTTTAATTTGAAGATATTTCCTTTTCCACCATAGACCACAAAGGGCTCCATATATCCACTTGCAGATTCTACAAATAGAGAGATTCAATACTGCTCAATGAAAAGATAGGTTCAACACTATGAGTTTAAAGCACACATCACAAAGAAGTCTCTCAGAATGCTTCTGTGTAGTTTTTATGTGAAGATATTTCCTTTTCCTCAATTGGCCACAAAGCTCTCAAAATATCCAGCTACATATTCTGCAAAAAGAGAGATTCAAAACTGCTCAATCATTAGATAGGTTACATTCTGTGATTTGAATGCACAAATCACGAAGGAGTTTCTCAGAATGCTTCTGTGTAGTGTTTATGTGAAGATATTTCCTTATCCACCATAAGCCGCAAGGGTCTTCAAATATCCACTTGCAGATTCTGCAAAGGAGAGATTTTAAACTGCTTAATGAAAAGATAGGTTCAACTCTGTGAGTTGAATGCACACGTCAGAAAGAAGTTTCTAAGAATGCTTCTGATTAGTTTTTGTGTGAAGATATTTTCTTTTCCACCACAAGCCGCAAAGGGCTCCAAATATCCACTTGCAGATACTGCAAAAAGAGAGATTCCAAACTGCTCAATCTAAAGATAGGTTCAACTCTGTGAGTTGAATGCATACATCACAAAGAAGTTTCTCAGAATTCCTCTGAGTATTTTTTATGTGAAGATATTTCCCTTTCCACAGTAGGACTCAAAGCACACGAAATATCCACTTGCAGATTCTATAAAAAGAGTGCTTCAAAACTGCTCAATCAAAAGAAAGGTTCAACTCTGTGAGATGAATGCACACATCATAAAGCAGTTTCTCAGAATGCTTCCGTGTAGTTTTTATCTGAAGATATTGGCTTTTCCACGGTAGGTCTCAAAGCGCTCCAAATATACACTTGAAGATTCTACATAAAGAATGATTCAAAACTGCTCCATCATAAGATAGGTTCAACCCTGTGAGATGAATGCACACATTGCAAAGAAGTTTCTCAGAAAGATTCTGTGTAGTTTTTATGTGAACATATTTGATTTTCCACAGTAGGCCTCACTGTGATCCAAATATCCACTTGCCGATTCTTCAAAAAGAGAGATTCAAACCATCTCAATGAAAAGAAAGGTTGAACTCTGTGAGTTTAATGCACACATTACGAAGAAGTTACTGAGAATGCTTCTGTACAGTTTTTATTTGAATATATTCCTTTTTCCACCTTAGGGCGGAAAGGACTCCAGTTATCCACTTGCAGATTCTACAAAAAGAGAGATTCTAAAGTGCTCAATCAAAAGATAGGTTCAAATCTGTGAGTTGAATGTACACATCATAAAGTAGTTTCACAGAATGCTTCTGAGTAGTTTCTATGTGAAGATATTTCCTTTTCCATGTTAGTCCTCAAAGGTTTCCAATTATCCACTTGCAGATTCTACAAAAAGAGTGTTCCAAAATTGCTCAATCCAAAGAAAAGTTCAACTCTGTGAGATGAATGCACACATCACAAAGAAGTTTCTCAGAATGCTTCTGTGTAGTTTTTATATGAAGATATTTCCTTATCCACAGTAGGCCTCAAAGGGCTCCAAATATCCACTTGCAGATTCTACAAAAGAGTGTTTCAAAACTGCTCAATCAAAAGAAAGGTTCAACTCTGTGAGATGAATGCACACATCACAAAGAAGTTTCTCAGAATGCTTCTGTGTAGTATTTATGTGAAAATATTCCCTTTTACATAATAAGCCTCAACGTTCTCCAAACATCCGCTTGCAGATTCTGCAAAAAGAGAGATTCAAAACTGCTCGATCAAAAGATAGGTTCAACTCTGTGAGTTGAATGCACACATCACAAAGTAGTTTCTCAGAATGCTTCTGAGTAGTTTTTATGTGAACATATTTCATTTCCCACAGTAGGTCTCACAGTGCTCCAAATATCCACTTGCAAATTCTACAAAAAGAGAAATTCAAAACTGCTAAATCAAAAGATATGTTCAGCCCTGTGAGTTGAATGCACACATCACAAATAAGTTTCTGAGAATGTTTCTTTGTAGTTCTTATTTGAAGATATTTCCTTTTCTACCATAGCCCTCAAAGGGCTCCAATTATTCACTTGCAGATTCTACAAAAAGAGTGTTTCAAAACTGCTCAATCAAAAGAAAGTTTCAACACTGTGAGATGAATGCAAACATCAAAAAGAAGTATCTCAGAATGGTTCTATGTAGTTTTTATGTGAAGATATTTCCTTTTCCACAATAGGCCTCAAAGGGCTCCAAATATCAACTTACAGTTTCTACAAAAAGAGTGTTTCAAATCTGCTCAATCAAAAGAAAGTTTCAACTCTGTGAGTTGAATGCACACATCGCAAAAAAGTTTCTCAGAAAGCTTTTGTGTAGCTTTTATCTGAAGTTATTTGCTTTTCCACAGTAGGCCTCAAAGCGCTCCAAATATCCACTTGCAGATTCTGCAAAAGAGAGATTAAAAACTGCTCAATAATAAGATAGTTTCAACTCTGTGAGTTGAATGCATACATCACAAAGAAATTTCTATGAATGCTTCTGTGTAGTTTTTATTTGAAGATATTTCCTTTTCCACCATGGGGCTCAAAGAGCTCCAAATATCTACCTGCAGATTTTATAAAAAGAGAGATTCAAAACTGCTCAATGAGAAAATAAGTTAAACTCTGTGGGTTGAGTGCACACCTCACAGAGAAGTTTCTCAGAATGCTTCTGTGTAGTTTTTATGTGAAGATATTTGCTTTTCCATAATAGGTTTCAAAGCTCTCCAAACATCCACTTGCAGATTCTGCAAAAAGAGAGCTTCTAAACTGCTCAATCAAAATATAGGTTCAACTCTGTGAGTTGAATGCACACATCAGAAAGAAGTTTATCAGAATGCTTCTGTGTAGTTTTTATTTGAAGATATTTCCTTTTCCACAATAGTCCTCAAAGGGCTCCAATTATCCACTAGCAGATTGTACAAAAAGAGTGTTTCAAAACTGCTCCATCAAAAGAAAGTTTCAACTCTATGACATGAATGCACGCACCACAAAGAACTTTCCCAGAATATTTATGTGTAGTTTTTATGTGAAGACATTTCCTTTTCCACAATAGGCCACAAAGCTTTGCAAACATACACTTGCAGATTCTGCAAAAAGAAAGATTCAAAAATCCTCAATCAAAAGATAGGTTCAACTCTTGTGAGTTGAATGCACACATTGCAAAGAAGTTTCTCAGAATACTTCTATGTAGTTTTCATGGGAAGATATTTCCTTTTCCACAACAGGCCTCAAAGGGCTCCAAATATCCACTTGCAGATTCTACAAAAAGAGTGTTTCAAAACTGCTCAATCAAGAGAAAGTTTTAACTCTGTGAGATGAATGCAAACATCACAAAGATGTTTCTCTGAATGCTTCTGTGTAGTTTTAATCTGAAGATAATTGCTTTTCCACGGTAGGCCTTAAGGCCCTCAAAATATCCAGTTGCAGATTCTGCAAAAAGAGAGATTCAAAACTGCTCATTCTTAAGATAGGTTCAAGTCTGTGAGTTGAATGCATACATCACAAAGAAGTTTATCAGAATGCTCCTGAATAGTTTTTATGTGAAGATATTTACTTTTCCACAATAGCCCTCAAAGGGCTCCAAATATCCAGTTGCAGATTCTACAAAAAGAGTGTTTCAAAACTGCTCAATCATAAGATAGTTTCAACCCTGTGAGATGAATGCACACATCACAAAGAAGTTTCTCAGTATGTTTCTGTTTAGTTTTTATTTGAAAATATTTCTTTTTCCACCAAAGGCCGCAAATGGCTCCAAATATCTACTTGCAGTTTCTGCCAAAAGAGAGATTCAAATCTGCTCAATCAAAAGATAGGTTCAACTCTGTGAGTTGAATGCACACATCCCAAAGAAGTTTCTCAGAATGCTTCTGTGTAGTTTTTATATGAAGATATTTGCTTTTCCTCAGTATGCCTCAAAGGGCAGCAAATATCCACTTGCAGATTCTACAAATAGAGAGATTCAAAACTGCTCAATGAGAAGAAAAGTTTAACTCTGTGGGTTGAATGGACTCCTCATAAAGAAGTTTCTCAGAATGCTTCTGTGTAGTTTTTATGTGAAGATATTTCCTTTTCCACAATATTCCTCAAAGGGCTCCAAATATCCAGTTGCAGATTCTACAAAAAGAGTGTTTCAAAACTGCTCAATCAAAGGAAAGTTTCAACTCTGTGAGACGAATGCACACATCACTAAGAAGTTTCTCAGAATGCTTCTGTTTAGTTTTTGTTTGTAGGTATATGCTTTTCCACGGTAGGCCTCAATTCCCTCTAAATATCCACTTGCAGATTCTACAAAAACAGTGTTTCAAAACTGCTCAATAAAACGGTAGGTTCAAACCTGTGAGATAAATGCACATATCACAAAGAAGTTTCTCAGAATTCTTCTGTGTAATTTTTATCTGAAGATATTTCCTTTTCCACCATAGGACACAATGGGCTCCAAATATCCACTTGTACATTCTACAAAAAGAGAGACGCAAAACTGCTCAAAGAGGACATATGTTCAACTCTGTGAGTTGAATGCACACGACACAAAGAAGTTTCTCAGAATGGTTCTGTGTAGTTTTTATGTGAAAATATTTCCCTTTCCACAATATGCCTGAAAGCTCTCCAAACATCCCCTTGCAGATTCTGCAAAAAGAGAGATTCAAAACTACTCAATCAAAAGATAGGTTCAACTATGTGAGTTGAATGCACACATCACAAATAAGTTTCTCAGAATGCTTCTGTGTTGTTTTTATGTGAACATATTTGATTTTCCACAATAGGCCTCACGGCGCTCCAAATATCCACTTGCAGAATCTATAAGAGAGATTCAAAACTGCTCAATCAAAAGATAGGTTCAAATCTGTGAGTTGAATGCACACATCATGAAGAAGTTTCTGAGAATGCTTCTGTGTAGTTTTTATTTGAAGATATTTCCTTTTCCACCATAGGGTGCAAAGGGCCCCAAATATTCCCTTGCAGATTCTACAAAAATAGAGAGTCTAAACCGCTCAATTGAAAGAGAGGTTGAACTCTGTGAGTTGAACACACACATCTCAAAGTAGTTTCTCAGAATGCTTCTGAGTAGTTTTTTATGTGAAGATATTTCCTTTTCCACAATAGGCCTCAAAGGGCTCCAATTATCCACTTGCAGATTCTACAAAAAGAGAGTTTCAAAACTGCCTAATCAAAAGTAAAGTTCAACTCTGTGAGATGAATGCCTATATCACAAAGAAGTTTCTCAGAATGCTTCTGTGTAGTTTTTATGGGAAGATATTTCCTTTTCCACTATAGGCCTCAAGGGGCTCCAAATATCCAATTGAAGATTCTAGAAAAAGAGTGTTTCAAAACTGCTCAATCAAAAGAAAGGCTCAACTCTGTGAGATGAATGCACACATCATAAACAAGTTTCTCAGAATGCTTCTATGTAGTTTTAATCTGAAGATATTAGCTTTTCCATGCTAGGCCTCAATTCGCTCCAAATATCCACTTGCAGACTCTACAAAAAGAGTGTTTCAAAATTGCTGAATCATAAGATAAGTTCAACCCTGTGAGATGAAAGAACACATAACAAAGAAGTTTCTTGCAATGTTTCCGTGCAGTTTTTATTTGAAGATATTTCCTTTTCCACCATAGGCCACAAAGGGCTCCAAATATCCACTTGCAGATTCTGCAAAAAGAGAGATTCAAAACTGCTCAATCAAAAGATAATTTCAACTCTGTGAGTTGAATGCACACATCCCAAAGAAGTTTCTATGAATGCTTCTGTGTAGTTTTTTTGTGAAGGTATTTTCTTTTCCACAGTAGCATTCAAATGGCTCCAAGTATCCACCTTCAGATTCGGCAAAAAGAGAGATTCAAAACTGCGCAATCAAAAGATAGCTTCAACTCTGTGAGTTGAATGCATACATCATGAAGAAGTTTCTGAGAATGCTTCTCTGTGGTTTTTATTTGAAGATACTTCCTTTTCCACCATAGAGGGCAAAGGGCTCCAAATATCCACTTGCATATCCTACAAAAAGAGAGATTCTAAACTGCTCAATCTAAAGATAGGTTCAACTCTGTGAGTTGAATGCACAAATCACAAAGAAGTTTCTCAGAATGCTTCTGTGTAGTTTTTATGTGAAGATATTTGCTTTTCCACAATACGCTTCAGAGCTCTCCAAACATCCACTTGCAGATTCTGCAAAAAGAGAGATTCTAAACTGCTCATTCAAAAGATAGTTTCAACTCTGTGAGTTGAATGCACAAATCACCAAGAAGTTTCTCAGAATGTTTCTGAGTAGTTTTTATGTGAAGATATATCCTTTTCCACAGTAGGCCACAAAGGGCTCCAATTATCCAATTGCACATTCTTCAAAAAGAGTGTTTCAAAACTGCTCAATCAAAAGAAAAGTTTAACCCTGTGATATGAATGCACACATCACAAAGAAATTTCTCAGATGCTTCTGTGTAGTTTTTATATGAAGATATTTTATTTTCCACAGTAGGCCTCACAGCGCTCCAAATATCCACTTGAAGATTGTACAAAAGAGAGACTCAAAACTACTCAATCAAAAGATAGGTTCAACTCTGTCAGTTGAATGCACACATCATGAAGAAGTTTCTGAGAATGCTTCTGTGTAGTTTTTGTCTGAAGATATTTCCTTTTCCACCATAGTGTGCAAAGGGCTCCAAATATCCACTTGCAGATTCTACAAAGAGAGAAATTCAAATCTTCTCAATCAAAAGATAAGTTCAACTCTGTGAGTTGAATGCACACATCACAAAGAAGCTTCTCAGAATGCTTCTGAGTAGCTTTAAGTGAAGATATTTTCTTTTCCACAGTATGCCTCAAAGGGCTGAAAATATAAACCTGCAGATTCCGCAAAAAGAGAGATTGAAAACTGCTTAATCAAAAGATAGCTTCAACTCTGTGAGTTGAATGCATACATCACAAAGAAGTTTCTCCGATTACTTCTGTGTAGTTTTTATTTGAAGATATTTCTTTTTCCACCATAGGGCCAAAGGGCTTCAAATATCCACTTGCAGATTCTACAAAAAGAGGGATTCAAAACTGGTCAATGAGAAGATAAGTTCCACTCTGTGAGTTGAATGCACACCTCACAAAGAAGTTTCTCAGAATTCTTCTGTGTACTTTTTATGTGAAGATATTTTCTTCTCCACAATTGGTCTCAAAGATCTCCAAACCTCTACCTGCATATTCTGCAAAAGGAGAAATTCAAAACTGCTCAATCAAAAGGTAGGTTCACCTCTGTGAGTTGCATGCACACATCACAAAGAAGTTTCTCAGAATGTTTCTTTGTAGTTTTTATGTGAACATATTTGATTTTCCACATTAGGTCTCACAGTGCTCCAAATATCCACTTGCAGATTCTACAAAAAGAGAGATTCAAAACTGCTCAATCAAAAGCTGGGTTCAATTCTGTGAGTTGAATGCACACATTACGATGAAGTTTCTGAGAATGCTTCTGTGTAGTTTTTATACGAAGATATTTACTTTTCCTCCATAGGGTGCAAGGGCTCCAAATATCCACGAGCAGATTCTACAAAAAGACAAATTCTAAACTGCTCAATCAAAAGATAGGTTCAACACTGTGAGTACAATGCACACATCACTAAGAAGTTGCTCAGAATGCTTCTGTGTAGTTTTTATGTGAAGATATTTGCTTTACCATGGTAGGTCTCAAAGCACTCCAAATATCCACCTGCAGACTCTACAAAAAGAGTGTTTCAAAACTGCTCAATCATAAGATAGGCTCAATCCTGTGAGATGAATGCATACATCACAAAGAAGTTTCTCAGAATGTTTCTGTGAAGTTTTTATTTGAAATATGTCCTTTTCCACCATTGGCCGCAAAGGGCTTCAAATATCCACTTGCAGATTCTGCAAAGAGAGAGATTCAAAACCGTTCAATCAGAAGAAAGGTTCAAACCTGTGAGTTGAATTCACACATTCCAAAGAATTTTCCAAGAATGCTTCTGTGTAGTTTTTAAGTGAAGATATTTGCTTTTCCACAGAAGGCCTTAAAGAGTTACAAATATCATCCTGCAGATTCTGCAAAAGAGATTCAAAACTGCTTAATCAAAAGATATGTTCAGCTCTGTGAGTTGAATGCACACATCACTAAGTAGTTTCTGAGAATGCTTCTGTGAATTTTTTGTTTGAAGATATTTTCTTTTCCACCTCAGGGTGCAAAGGGTTCCAAATATCCACTTACAAATTCTACAAAAAGAGAGATTCTAAACTGCTCAATCAAAAAGTAGGTTCAACTCTGTGAGTTCAATGCTCACATCACAAAGAAGTTTCTCAGAATGCTTCTGAGTAGTTTTTATGTGAAGATATTTGCTTTTCCACAATAGGCCTCAAAGGGCTCCAATTATCCACTTGCAGATTCTACAAAAGAGTGTTTCAAAACTGCTCAATCAAAAGAAAAGTTCAACTCTGTGAGATGAATTCACACATCCCAAAGGATTTTCTCAGAATGCTTCTGTGTAGTCTTTAAGTGAAGATATTTGCTTTCACACAGTAGACCTCAAAGGCTCCAAATATAAACCTACCGATTCTGCAAAAAGACAGATTCAAAACTGCTCAATCAAAAGAAAGGTTCAACTCTGTGAGATGAATGCACACATCACAAAGAAGTTTCTCATAATGCTTCTGTGTAGTTTTTATCTGAAGATAGTTGCTTTTCCATAGTAGGCCTCAAAGCGCTCCAAATATCCACTTGCAGATTCTACAAAAAGACAGATTCTAAACTTCTCAATGAGAAGATAAGTTCAACTCTGTGAGTTGAATGCACACCTCACAAAGAAGTTTCTCAGAATGCTTCTGTGTAGTTTTTATTTGAAGTTATTTGCTTTTCCAAAATAGTCCTCAAAGCTCTCCAAATATCCACTTTCAGATTCTGCAAAAAGAGAGATTCAAAACTGCTCAGTCAAAAGGTAGTTCAGCGTTGGGAGTTGAATGCACACATCACAAAGAAGTTTCTCAGAATGCTTCTGTGTTTTTTTTATGTGAACATATTTGATTTTCCACAGTAGGCCTCAAAGGGCTGCAAATATCCACTTGCAGATTCTACAAAAAGAGAGATTCAAAACTGCTCAATCAAAATATAGGTTCAAATCTGTGAGTTTAATGCACACATCACATAGAACTTTCTCAGAATTCTTCTGTGTGGTTTTTATTTGAAGATATGT
This sequence comes from Homo sapiens, assembly GCF_000001405.40. NCBI lineage: Eukaryota > Metazoa > Chordata > Mammalia > Primates > Hominidae > Homo > Homo sapiens. The sequence continues at coordinate 11,364,332 of NC_000022.11, read as the reverse complement.
CCTTTACCATCATAGGGCCCAAAAGGCTCCAAATAGCCACTTGCAGATTCTACAAAGAGAGAGATTCTAAACTGCATAATCAAAAGATAGGTTCAACTCTGTGAGTTGAATGCACACATCACAAAGAAGTTTCTCAGAATGCTTATGAGTAGTTTTTATGTGAAGATATTTCTTTTTCCACAATACGCCACAGAGGGCTCCAATTAACCACTTGCAGATTCTACAAAAAGAGTGTTTCAAAACTGCTCAATAAAACGAAATGTTCAACTCTGTGAAATGAATGCACACATCACAAAGAAGTTTCTCTGAATGCTTCTGTGTAGTTTTTATGAGAAGATATTTCCTTTTCCACAATAGTCCTCTAGGGGCTCCAAATATCCCCTGCAGATCCTACAAAAAGAGTTTCAAAACTGCTCAATGAAATTAAAGGTTCAACTCTGTGAGATGAATGCACACATCACAGAGAAGTTTCTCAGAATGCTTCTGTGTAGTTTTTGTGTGAAGATATTTGCTTTTCCACATTAGACCTGAAAGCACTCCAATTATCCACTTGCAGATACTGCAAAAAGAGAGATTCAAAACTGCTCAATTAAAAGATAGGTTCAACTCTGTGAGTTGAATGCACACATCACAAAGAAGTTTCTCAGAATGCTTTTTTGTAGTTTTCATGTGAACATATTTGATTTTTTACAGTAGACCTCACAGCGCTCCAAATATCCACTTGCAGATTCTACAAAAAGGGAGATTCAATACTGCTCAATCAAAGGACAGGTTCAACTCTGTGAGTTGAATGCACACATCACGAAGTAGTATCTGAGAATGCTTCTGTGAAGTTGTTATATGAAGATATTTCCTTTTTTACCATAGGTCACAAAGGGCTCCAAATATCCACTTGCACATTCTACAAAAAGAGAGATTCTAAACTGGTCCATCAAAAGATAGGTTCATCTCTTTGAATTGAATGTACACATCACAAAGAAGTTTCTCAGATTGTTTCCGAGTAGTTTTTATGTGAAGATATTTCTTTTTCCACAATAGGCCTCAAAGGGCTCCAATTATTCACTTACAGATTCTACAAAAAGTGTATCAAAACTGCAGAATCAAAAGAAAGGTTCAACTCTCTGAGATGAATGCACACATCACAAAGAAGTTTCTCAGGATGCTTCTGTGTAGTTTTTATTTAAGGATATTTCCTTTTCCACCTTAGGCTGCAAAGGCTTCCAAATATCCACTTGCAGATTCTGCAAAAAGAGAGATTCAAAACTGCTCAATCAAAAGATAGGTTCAACTCTGTGAGTTGAATGTACGTATCCCAAAGTAGTTTCTCAGAATGTTTCTGTATAGTTTTTATGTGAAGATATTTCCACTTCCACAGTAAGCCTCCAAGGGTCCAAATATCTACCTGCAGATTCTGCAAAAAGAGTGATTCAAAACAGCTCAATCAAAGATAGGTTCAACTCTGTGAGTTGAATGCATACATCACAAGGAAGTTTCTCTGAATGCTTCTGTGTAGTTTTTATGTGAAGATATTTGCTTTTCTACGGTCGGCCTCAAAGCGCTCCAATTTTCCACTTGCAGATTCTACAAAAAGACTGTTTCTAAACTGCTCAATCATAAGATAGGTTCAACCCTGTGAGATGAATGCACACATCACAACGAAGTTTCTCAGAATGTTTCTGTGTAGTTTTTATCTGAAGATATTTCCTTTTCCACCATAGGCCCCAAAGGGCTCCAAATATCCAATTGCAGAGTCTGCAAAAAGAGAGATTCAAACTGCTGAATCAAAAGATAGGTTCAACTCTGTGACTTGGATACAAACATCCCAAAGAAGTTTCTCAGGGAGCTTCTGTGTAGTTTTTATGTGAAGTTATTTGCTTTTCCACAGTAGGCCTCAAAGGGCTCCAAATATCCACCTGCAGATTCTGCAAGAAGAGAGATTCAAAACTGCTCAATCAAAAAAATGTTCAACTCTGTGAGATGAATGCACACATCACAAAGACGTTTCTCAGAATGCTTCTGTGTAGTTTTTATGTGAAGATATTTCCTTTTCCACACTAGGCCTTAAAGGGCTGCAAATATCGACTTGCAGATTCTACAAAAGAGTGTTTCAAAACGGCTCAATCAAAGGAAAGTTTCACCTCTGTGAAATGAATGCACACATCCCCAAATAGTTTCTCAGAATGCTTCTTTGTAGTTTTTATGTGAAGATATTTGCTTTGTCACAATAGGCCTCAAAGTGCTCCAAATATCCACTTGCAGATTCTACAAATAGAGTGTTTCAAAACTGCTCAATCAGAAGAATATGTCAACTCTGTGAGATGAAGGCTCACATCACAAAGAAGTTCCTCATAATGCTTCTGTGTAGTTTTTATGTGAAGAAATTTCCTTTTCCACAATAGGCCTCAAATCGCTCCAAATATCCACTTGCAGATTCTACAAAAACAGTGTTTTAAAACTGCTCAATCAAAAGAAATGTTCAACTCTGTGAGATGAATGCACACATCACAAGGAAGGTTCTCCGGATGATGTCCGAATAGGAACAGCTCCAGTCTACAGCTCCCAGCGTGGGCGACGCAGAAGATCGGTGATTTCTGCATTTCCTTCTCAGGTTCTGTGTTCATCTCACTAGGGCATGCCAGACAGTGGGCCCAGGACAAGTCTCTGCACCCCGGAAAGTGTGATCATGTTGACTGTTTCCCGACCTCTGTGGGGCCCCAGAAACTTCCAGGAATACATGGAAGACCAGCATTGTGTCGGTGCTCTCCTTTCCAGTTTTCAAACAGGCTATATTGGAGACTCCCCATTTTTCAGGAAACAGGAATTCTTCGTCAGGACCTGATGCATGGGACATTTCTTTTCTCTGTGGTTTTGCTCTCCTTGTCTACATGAAAATAAACGAGATCCACACACCTGCGTGTGTGAGACTATTACGGCAACTGTGACACCCAAGCGCTGGCTAAGAGTTGGCAGCCTGATCCCGGCACAAAAGTTCTGACGGACATCCAGACACACCCCACCACAGTCACTAGCAAACCCACTCCCAAACACACAGACACACACGGGCGCACGCGCGGGAACACAAGCACACACACAGACACACAAAGACACAGACAGCTTGAAGAACAAGGGACAGAGAGATGGAGAGATAGAAACGGAAGGAGAGTGAGAAACAGCGATCGAGAGAAAGACAGAGAAGAACTGGGGAGATTGAGAGAGAGAGCACGCAAGGTGGAGAGGGAAGTAGAGAAAAGGAGTGGGTGAGGGAGCTAGAGAGGGGGAGCAACAGAGCCTTGGAGAGGGAGGCTCTGCTCTGGTAGATAGGGGCCCCCTTGGCGAGGGTAGGGTCGAGGGTACCTGGGCCGGGCTGGAAGAGGTGGGCAGGGCTGCCCACGCGGGAAAACCAACAGAGCCATGAGACATGTTTTTACTTGGATTGGTTGGTTGCTTTGGGTGTGAGCTTCCTAGCGTCATTCCTTTGTTGGCTCCTCCTATCCTCTTGGTGCTGTGGGCCCTGAAAGTTGTAGAGTGCTCCTGCCTATGGCGGAAGCAGTGGCGCCGAGCCTGCTCACGGGACGTGGCTTGGGTCTGTCTTAGGTTTGTCTTTGTGAGGCGATTTTCTAGATCCTCCCCTGCCTCTTTCTCTACATCTTCTTTAAAACCAATAACTCTTAGATCTGTCTTTGTGAGGTTATTTTCTAGATCCTGTAGGCATGATTTGTTGTTTTATTCTGTTTCTTTTGTCTCTTCTATGTATTTTTAAAGAGCCTGTCTTCTCTGCTTGATGCATTCTGCTATTACATGGCTCTAATGCATTCTTCAGCATGCCAACTGCATTTTTCAGCTCCAGAATTTCTGCTTAATTCGCTGTAACTATTTCAATCTCTTTGTTGAGTTTAGCTGATAAAATTTGGAATTTCTTTACTTTGTTACCTTAAATTTCTTTCAGTTTTTTTTTTTTTTAATACAGCTATTTTGAATTCTCTGTCTGAAAGGTCACATATCTCTTTTTCTCCAGGATTTGTCCCTGGTACCTTATTTAGTTCACTTGGTGAGGTCATGTTTTCCTGGATGGTGTTGATGCTAGTAGATGTTCTTCAGTGTCTGGACATTAAAATCTTGGGCATGTAGCACCATATGAGAGGTTTAAAAAATAAAATTTAAAAAGAGTATAGGTGAGTATTTATTGTAGTCTTCACTGTCTGTGCTTATTTGTAGCTGTCTTTCTTGGGAAGGCTTTTCACATATTTGAAAAGACTTGGGTGTTGTGATCTAAGCCATGTCTGCTTTATGGGGCACCTTATACCCAATAATGCAGTAATTCTTCCAGACTCAGAGAAGTACCACCTTGACAGCCTTCAACAAGATCCAGGAGAATTTTCTGGATTACTAGCCAGAGACTTTTTCCCTACCCTTATTTTCTCTCAAAGATACAGAGTCTTTCTCTCTATTCTAAGCCACCTAAAGCTGGGAGAAGAAAGACACAAGCACCCCTGGCCACCACCACTATGACTGCCCTGGATCAGACCTGAAGCTAGCACAGCACAGGGTCTTGCTCAAGTTCTGCTGCATGCACTTTCTGACGACTGCCTATGTTCACTCAAGGCCTTTGGTCTCTACAATTAGCAGGTGGCAAAGCCAGACAGTCCTGTGTTCTTTTCTTTAGGGCAGTGAGATCCCTCAGTCCCTGGCTGGGTCCAGAAGAGCCATTCAGAAGTCAGGGCTTTGGCCACTTTTTAATAGGGTTTTTTGTTTATCTCTTGTAAATTTAAGTTCCTTATATTGAATATTAGATCTTTGTCAGATACATAGTTTGTAAATATTTTTTCTCATTCTATATGTTGTCTGTTCACTCTATTGATAATTTCTTTTGCTGAGTGGAAGCTTTTAAGTTTAATTAGATCCTACTTGTCAATAGTTGCATTTGTTGTTTTTGGTGTCTTTATCATGAAATCTTTGCCTGTTTCTACATCCAGGATGGTATTGCCTAGGTTGCCTTCCAGGGCTTTTATAGTTTTGGGTTTTACATTTAAGTATTTAACCCATCTTGGATTGATTTCTGCATATGGTATAAGGAAGAAGTCCAACTTCAATCTTCTGCATATGGCTAGCCAGTTATTCCAGCATCATTTATTGAATAGGGAATCTTTTCCCCATTGCTTGTTTTTCACAGCTTTGTCAAAGATTAGATAGCTGTAGGTATGTGGTCTTATTTCTAACTTCTCTATTCTGTTCCATTGGTGGATGTGTCTGTTTTTGTGCTAGTACCATGCTGCTTTGGTTACTATAGTGCTATAGTATAGTCTGAAGTCGGGTAATGTGATGCCTCAAGCTTTGTTCTTTTTGCTTAGGATTGCCTTAGCTACTTAGATTCTTTCTTGGTTCTATATGAATTTCTAAATAGCTTTTTTCTACTTCCATGAATCATGTCATTGGTAGTTTAATAGGAATAGCTTTAGGCGGTACAACCATTTAAATTATATTAATTCTTTCTCTCCATTAACATGGAATGATTTTTCATTTGTTTATGTCTTCTCTGACTTCTTTGAGCAGTGTTTTGTAATTTTCATTGTAGAGATTTTTCAACTCCCTGGTTAGCTGTATTCGTACATGTTTTATTCTTTTTGTGGAAATTGTGAATAAAATTGCCTCTCTGATTTGGCTCTTAGTTTGACTCTTCTTGGTGTATAGGAATGCTAGCAAATTTTGTACATTGATTTTGTGTCCTGAAACTTTGTGGAAGTTGTTTATCAGCTTAAAGAGCTTTTGGGTCACAACTATAGGGTTTAGATAGAGAATTATGTTGTCTGCAAACACATATAGTTGGACTTCCCTTTCTATTTAAATATGTTTCATTTCTTTCTCTTGTCTGATTGCTCCAGAAAGGACTTCTAATACTATGTTGAATAGGAGTAGTGAGAGAGGGCATCCTTGTCTTGTGTGGGTTTCAAGGAGAATGCGTCCAGATTTTGCCCATTTAGTATAATGTTGGCTGTGAGTTTGTCATAGGTGGCCTTTATTATTTTGAGGTATGTTCTTTCGATACTTCATTTATTGAGAATTTTTAACATGAAGCTTTGTTGAATTTTACTGAAAGCCTTTTCTGCATCTGTTGAGACAATCACCTGGTTCTTATCTTTAGTTCTATTTATGTTACGTATCGCATTTTATTGATTTGCCCATGATGGACCAACTTTTCATTCCAGGGAAGAAGCTTAGTTCACTATGGTGAATTAGCCTTTTGATGTGTTGCTAAATTCAGTTTGCAAATATTTTGTTGTACATTATTGAATGGATGTTCATCAAGGATACTGGCCTGAAGTTTTCTTTTTTTGTTGTGTCACTTCCAGGCGTTGGTATCAGGATGATTCTGGTCTCATAGAACAAGCTGGGGAAGAGTCCCTCCTCCTGTATTTCTTGAAATAGTTTTAGTAGGACTAGTAGTGGCTCTTCTTTGTACATCTGTTAAAATTTGTTAATCTATCAGGTCCTGGGCTTTTGGGGGGGGGGTTGGTAGGCTATTTATTATGGATTCAATTTTTGGAGCTCATAATTGGTCTGTTCAGAGACTAAATTTCTTCCTGGTTCAGTCTTGAGAGAGTCTATGTGTCCAGGAATTTATTCATCTCTTCTGGGGTTTCTACTTTGTGTGTGTAGAGGTGTTCATAGTAGTTGCTGGTTGTTATTTTTATTTCTCTGGGGTCAGTGGTAACATTCCCTTCATCATTTCTAATTTTGTTTATTTGAATCTTTTCTCTTTTCTTCTTTATTAGTCTAGCTAGTGCCCTATCTATCTTATTATTTTTTTCATAAAACCTTGATTAAGTGATCTTTTGAACAGTTTTTCTTGTCTCAATTTCTTTCAGTTCAGCTCTGATTGCAGTTATTTCTTGTCTTCTATAAGCTTTGTGATTGAGTTCTTCTTGCTTCTCTAATTCTTTCAGTTGTGATGTTAGGTGGTTAATTTGAGATCTTTCTAACTTTTTGATATGGGCATTACTTCTTATGCCCTACTCTAACTTTTCTCCTTCTCCTAGAAAACTCAGAACTATGCTTTCTAAACCAATAGAAACTTTCTCACCGAATCAACCTAGTCCCCCTGAGGCAAAGTTAGCAATTTTCCATTACACACGGTTCTCTTTCTCTGTAAGAATATCTAATGCAACAATGCAAGTGTTTCTTTCCCTCCTGGTAATGCGGGGAACTCCTTTTGGCTGAGACCAAGACTTAAAACCTTGTTCTCTCAACATTAATGAAGATCTATTTAGAAAGCCTCCATTTTTACAGAAAAGATATATAAACACCAATGAAAATAAATATAAAATTATATGACATACAATTATAGTGTGGAAAGACTGAATAAATAAGTGAACTAAGCTCTAAGAAAAAAAGATGATGATATAAAATGATATAGAAGTAAAACCCTTGGCTGATATAGCATAATTAATGTATCAGTAAATTATGTACATTGTAGAAGTGGCAGGAAGACAGCATAGAGAGTGAGACCTGACCAGAAGCTTTAAGTAAAGTTCTATACCCTTAAACGAGATTAAAGTGGACTCAGGAAAACATGGTCCACATGAGGAGAAGGACATATGTTCCAGACGAGCCAAATCTCAGAGCATCTCTACCTTCTCCAGGAGGAAAGGGGAGGCAAAGCTGCAGGCAGAAGACAGCACGGCCAGGTCGGCATAGGGCACGCAGACCAAAATAGCTGAGCTCCATCGTACAGGTAGTCAGGAGCCACTGCCAGGTGGGCTTTATTCATTAGTTTGTTTTGTTTTCTTTAGTAAATAGGACACATAATCAAAGTTGACCTTTGTAAGTATTGCTGCAGCTGAACATAATAAGATGGATAAAACCAGTGTTTTAAAAATTATGTTGTATAGAGCACTAGCCCCAGAGAGATATTAGTGGAACACAGAGGCGCGCACACACACACACACACACACACACACACACACACACACACTCACACTGAGCCCAGATTATTCTGGCAAATGCTGGGTTAAGCAAACTAAAAGAAACATCTTTAGTTCTGGACTTCTCAGAACCTGGAATGTGGCTATGTGACTCATAAAATAACAAGGTTAAGACAGAGAATGTCATTTTTTTTCCCAGAAATGTTGAAACACTTTCTTTCCCTTGGCTTCAGTGTCACCTTCTTTCTTTTTTTTTATGATTTTTTTAAATTATTATACTTTTAAGTTTTAGGGTACATGTGCACATTGTGCAGGTTAGTTACATATGTATACATGTGCCATGCCGGTGCGCTGCACCCACTAACTCTTCATCTAGCATTAGGTATATCTCCCGATGCTATCCCTCCCCCCTCCCCCCACCCCACAACAGTCCCCAGAGTGTGATATTCCCCTTCCTGTGTCACCTTCTTTCTCGTGGTTCTCCAACCACCTCTTTGGCTGCTCCTTCTTGATTTCCTTTTTGACAATCTGCTGCTGCTCAGCCATTCTCTTTTCATTCCACGTGGATTTCTCAAGTTTGTTTCTATTCCTGCAGATTAAATTTTCCTCGTTTTTCCTGAAAACTCTCCTTGTCTGACCCTCCCCACTTCTAAGGCAGGTGTTCCATCTGTGTGCACTTTTGGCATCCTGGGATGCTCCCAGCATGTTCCCTGTCACACTCCATCAGGTGTTCTCTGCAGACTCTGCGAGGGCAGCAGCCTTGTCTCCACCATCCCTTCAATGCTCAGCATGTAACACAGAAGCTGACTCCATAACATTTAGTTGGCCAACTGAGACTAAATATGTGTTCCTCTAGATCTTAAAAAGTTACAGAAACATAGCACAATGGACAAAAAAATTCTCTTTAGTCAGGAGTTCTCCATATATGTATAAGAGTTTGAAGTCATTATTAAACAACGTGAAACAGAAACTGTCACAGAATTCCCTAAATTATTTTGCTTTAATCTTCAATTCATCATGTGAGATAATCATGACCATGTGTTATTGTAAATATTTCTAGCTTACGACACAATAACCTGATTTTTATTGTTTGAAATAACCGTAATATAAATCAGTTAATTAAAAATGGCATAAATAATCCTTTCAAATAAAATTCTGCCAAATTTTACATTACTCATATGTTCAAATGATAATGAGCTCATAGGCTTTTCCAATACCTCAGTCAAAACATTGTACTGATTCCAGCTGTGGGAATAGTATCGGAAAGTTATTTTACAGATGGGGAAAATGTACCTATGTGACGTTGGCCTTTGCACTACTGTGCCCTTTTGGGTCAGGAAAAAGCTGTTCCCTTAAAATCCTAAAATCTCTTCTGTCAGGTCTAAAGGGTGAATAGGAAACATAGTTTTTAAAATTTTAGCCACAGGTGTTTTATTCCTTGCTTAAAGCAGTGACTAGATAAAAGCCACTAGAAGAGTGTCCAATGTTTCTTTAGAAGTGTGTGCCTGAGAATATCTTCCTGAAACACTCCCTTGTCTCTGCCCAAAATCACCTTAGGTAGGAAAGTTAAAACTCAGCAGGCTGAGGAGATCCAAGGGGATCACTGAGCTCTGAGGCTTATGAGAGAAGAGAGAGAAGTCTAAGACTTTTTGTGTATAAATTTATGGGTTCCAAGTGCAATTTTGCTGTAAGCATGGATGGCATAGTGGTGAAGTCAGGGCTTTTAGGTATCCATCACCGGAATAATGCACATTGTACCCATTAAGTAATTTCTCACTGTTCACCCCTTCCATCCCTTCACCCTTCTGAGTCTCCATTATCCTTCCACTCTCTACATCAATACCCTCACATCTTTTAGCACCCCCTTATGAGTGATAAAATACGATGTTTACTCTGTGTCTGGCTTGCTTCACTTACAACAATGGCCTCCAGTTCCACCCATGTGTCTGCAAAAATTATGATTCTATTGTTTTTTACTCCTGAATAGTATTTCATTGTGTATATTTTCTATATTTTCTTTTTCCAATCATTTGTTGATGGACATTTAGGTTGATTTTATATCTGTGCTACTGTGAATAGTGTTGCAACAAATATAAAAGTACAGTTATCTTTCTGATACATTGATTTTTTTCCTTTGCATAAATACTCAGCGGTGGGATTGCTGAATCAGACAGAGCCAGTAGATGATCAGTAATGGTGGCCAATCATCAGCTAGAAACAAAGTACTTAGCAGGGCTTGAAAACACCAAAACTCTAAGACCACTGACCTTCAAAAACTTCAACAGCCCTGAGTGAAAAGTCCAAACACATTCATCTACCATTCAAAGACCCTTTATTGTCTCTCCTCTGCACATCTCAGTAGTCTCTTTTTACCACACTGTCTATATACTTCATGAGCCATTTATATGAAACTATCTGACACTCCAAGGCATCTTATACTATATATTCAATCATGTATCCCTAGAAATTATCACAGTCCTGGCATATAGTTTGCTACTAAACATTTGCAGAATGAAGGAATTATCTTATATCCAGGTTCCAAGTTTTAAGGTGATTCTTCACTAAAAAAAAGTATTATAGCTCACAAATAGTCTACTCCCTTTTTTACAAGTGGGATCGATTTTAATCTTATCCCCTAATAACATTACTTTCATTTACTCCCATCTAAATATACTGTCCTAAGAGAGCAATAAGAAAGAGAGTTGAAGCTGGAGCTTGAATAATTGTACATGGTCCTGTGATACCCTACCTTGTTTTAACCTGAGTGACTCTCTTCTAGCGGAGAGAGAGCCGGACAGACTCCATTTTAGTTTCTTCACGTGCAGCCCCCTTTACCTCCCTTCCTTAAGGGCATAACTAGTGTAAATTGACTCAAAGCACGACCAGGAATGCACTCACTATTAAGATATTGAGGCAAGCTGCACCAGCAGCTCCTGGGGACGCGCTCGGTGAATGGCACCCAAAACCCCTGTATTTCTTTCTTTGTGATAGTTTAAGCCCCTGCACCTGGAATGGTTTATTTATTTATTTATTTATTTTGTAACTGCTTTTGTAACCAATTAATTTTTTTAACTGTTTGCTAGCTCTAGCTCTGCTTCTGTAAAAATTGCTTCAACTAAACTCCCCCCTCCCCTATTTAGACCACGGTATAAAAACAAAACCAGCCCCTTCCTCGGGGCCAAGAGAATTTTGAGCGTTAGCTGCCTCACGGTCGCTGGCTAATAAAGGACTCCTTAATTTTTCTCAAAGGGTGGCTTTCCTCTATAACTCGCTTGGTTACAACAGTCCACACTGTGGCCTGAGGTGCATCGCCCACCTGAGCTTCATCTGTTAAGTATGTCAGGGAAGATAAGCAGGGCGAGAGTGGCCTCATCAGAGGACCCCAGATCTCTGGCTTCCCCATCTGGAAAGTGCACATCTGTGAACAAAGACTTCAGAACCAGATGACAAGAACGGCCCAAGGAGTCCACCAGGGAAACCTGGGCCCAGTGTACATCAATGCAGAGCATCAAGCATGGTGTAACAGGTGCACAGTTGCCTATTCCTGTTCAGAGATGACTGCATCCCACACACTGTAAAATGAGGAAATGCAGAGAAGCAGATGTAACTGAAGAAGACAGGAGGAGCAACAAGGAGGGACAACCACGACCTAGGAAGGCACGATGCCAGAGACGCCTGGACCCCACGCTAGGCTCAGTGCTTGTTATACTCTTGGGACCCAGTGCTTTCCCTCTCCATCATGTGGCATACTTGGCATTATTTCTTGTTTAAAATATTGTCCTTAGTTTTCACCTTTCCTAGGAGACACAGGCAGATCCTGTGACACTACACTGTCTGGCACACAGTAGGTGCATCACAAACATCTGCCGAGTTCACACACTCTTGCCTTCTCAAACCTTCTTGTCAAGTCGTCAGTGAAAAGGAATTGCTGACTGAGCAAGAATTAAACTTCTAGAGACTCCTGGATCCACTGAAGTTTGAGACAAGGTGAGATTTGTTTACTGCCATATTCCTAGCTGATAGCATATTGTAGTCAATTAAAAAATGTTCGTTGAATCAGTGAGTGAATTGATTCATATGTCATACTTAGCTATATATTTTCTGAGTAAAATTGATAAATTTAATAGTTTACTTCTATTATAATTTTACTTTACTTATTCAACGAACCTGACAATTCAACTAGGTGCCAGGTACACCGCTGCTGAACAAAAAGAGGTATAAGATACAACTTCTGTCTACAAGAAAGCCACGGTCTAAAGAGTAGAAACATATGAACAAATCATAACAATAAACAGGCTGAATTCAAAATCAGAGGGGTTTGTTTCTATTTTAAACAGCTCTAGTCAGGAAGTGTTAGAAAGTTCTAAACAGGAAATGTTCCAACACACCATCCAAGCATGAAGCAGAAGACACCCATAATTGAGTTTGCTGCCACCAACCCCAAGAGCAAGAATTCCAGTCCTGCTGCTGCAAAGTAAGTGTCACTCTGATTTTATTACTGCTGTGTAACCCAGTTTTAGACCCTTTGGTTGTCACTTAATATTCTAAAAAATATCAAAGAGAAAATATTATTATGGTGATGAGCCCATCCACTGCAGCCATCTCAACATCATACCAATTATAAGGCCTATCATTTAAAAAGAAAAATGTTAGTTTAACTTATTTATCCAAATATCAGTATTAGATAAACATGTTTGTCATCAGACTTTGGATTTATGGGTTAAATGGCATAAAAATATGATTAGAGCCTTAAAGTTTACACTTCTCTGGTTTGCTCAAATTTTTTGCAAAATAGCATATGCCTTTCTAAAAAATTGTTAGTATTTTTTTAAAATGAACATTAAAATATATATTTTCCAAAAACAAAATACAGCTCCCATTGGCAAATGGTGATGTTGAGATACAACAGACAACTTCTCTTGGGAACCATTTAATCAGTGCTCACTTTTGCACTCTTTCCAGAAATGTCAATGCCTTTAAAATGTGGAAGTATATTATACAACTAAACTTACACTTATTCAGTATTGTGCAACATTTAGTACTTGTTCTAGCTATCTCTTGCTGAATAGTAAGCCATTCCAAAACTTAAGGAGTTATTTATAGTTTAATATTGTTTATTGTTATTGTTAAGTGATTATAAATAATGTTATTTCTCATGGTTTTGTGGGTTGATGGGCACTACAAAAGTTCTCTTTTGGAGTCTTTCTTGCAGTTGCGGTTGGTTGGCTGCTGCTGAACTCACCTGAAAGCTCAACTAGGCTAAAGAGCCTAGACGGGTCACTTACATGGCTGGCAGTGCATATTGGCTGCTGGGTGTGATGCCTATCTGACCTCTCCATGTTATCTGGAGTGCTCACAACTTGGTAGTTGGTCCCAAAGCACACAGGCAAATACCACAAAGCTTCTTAGGACCTAGCCTTGGAAGTCCTAAAATACAACTTCTGCTCCATCCTATTGGTAAAGCAAGTCATTGTGACCAGCACAGATTCAAGAAATGGGAGATTCGACTCTAACTGTCAATGTAAAGAGCAGCATGTGCATGCAGGAAGGAAAGAAATTAAGGGCACCATCTCGAAGACTATCATATCACACCATTACTCCAACTAATGAACATTATGTTTTAGATGGGTAGTACTAGCTACTCATCTCTCCCCCAGAAACCCAACTAAGCATGGACATATTGAAGAGAATGTCAGCACCATTAAAAAAAACTCTAGAAAAATCACATGTGATGACTGAGGTTAATTCAGTCTGTCAATTACATCAATATAATTCCCTTCTTGTAACCCTAAATATGGTGAAGCAGAATTGAATTCTACAAAAGTCTTTCATCTGTTTTCCTGTGGAATAATTAACAAACCCAATGAATGTATAAATAACATGAAGTCCGATTTATTTTAGATTTTTAACTCTTAATTTCAAAGCTTATAGAAATCCATAGAACTAATCATCATAATCCACAATGCCTGGACCAGAAGTCCTTGTTCTAAGAGTATCTTGTGGCATGCTAAAAACTTATTACTAACTAGGAAATTTAAAACTTTTTGTTAGTGATTTTAAGAGAGCTGACTAGCTCATCACCACAATTCACACAGAGTAAGAATGGAGATTACTCTGCTGAGTGGATTGATAGTGATCGAAAAAAATCACAAAAGAGGAAAGGAGATAGCGAAGGGGAAACATACTGTCAATCCCTACAACTAAAGTGATTTTTCGAATGGTTTGATTTTGTATTTGCAAAGGAAAGGCAGCTTATTGTGATAGAATACAAATCCCACTTCTATATCTTTTTTTTTTTTTTTTGAGACGGAGTCTCGCTCTGTCGCACAGGCTGGAGTGCAGTGGTGCGATCTTGGCTCACTGCAAGCTCTGCCTCCTGGGTTCACGCCATTCTCCTGCCTCAGCCTCCCGAGTAGCTGGGACTACAGGCGCCCGCCACCACGCCCAGCTAATTTTTTGTATTTTTTGTAGAGACAGGGTTTCACCGTGTTAGCCAGGATGGTCTCGATCTCCTGACCTTGTGATCCACTCATCCTGGCCTCCCAAAGTGCTGGGATTACAGGTCTGAGCCACTGTGCCCGGCTCATCTTCTTTTAAGAAGTGTCTGCTTATATCCCTTGTCAATGTTTTAATGGAGTTGTTTTTTTAATGTTCACCTTCACTAATCATCAGAGAAATGCAAATCAATGTGAGATACCATCTCATATTAGTCAGAATGGCTACTATTAAAAAGTAAAAAAACAACAAATTCTTGTTAGACTTCAGAGAAAATGAAATGCTTATACACTGTTGTTGAGAATGTAAATTAGTTCAGCCACTGTGAAAAGCAGTTTGGAGATTTTTCAAAGAATTTAAAACAGAAGTTCCATTCAACCAGCAATTCCATTACTGAGTACATGTCCAAAATAAAATTAAAAATTCTACAAAAAGAAACCCCACATGCACTTGCATATGCGTCATCTTGCTATTCACAATAGAGAAGGCATGGAATTAACTTATGTGTTAATCAATAAATTGGATAGAAATATGTGCCACATATACACCATAAAATACTATGCACACATTAAAAAGAATACAATCATGTCCTGTGCAGCAACATGCATACGTCTGGAGGCCATTATCATAGGGAAATTAATACAGGAACAGAAAACCAAATACCACATGTTCTTGCCTATAAGTAGGATCTAAACATGGGGTACTCAGGAATATAAAGATGACAACAATAGACACTGAGAACTACTAGATGAAGGAGGGAAGGAGGAGGGCAGGGGGTGAGAAACTATGAGTGCTATGCTTACTGCCTAGGTGATGGGATCAAATGTATCCCACAATATATGCTCACTACCTTGGTGATGGGACCAATAATATCCCACATTGCTCAGCATCACACAATATATCCATGTAATAAACATGCAAATATACTCGGTGAATCTAAAAAAATTAAGGCAGAGACAGAATAAGAGGGCAGAATAGAAGCCTACATTCTCATCCACCACACAAAAACACCAAATTTTCACAACTCACTACATTCAAGAAGCACTGTCAAAGGGACCAAAAATTGGGTGAGCAATCACAGTACCTGGTATTAACTTCATATCACTGAAACAGACATTGGAGAAGACAAATAAATAAAAGATGATCTAGAAGCAAGTATGCCACCTCTTTTTCAACCACCAGTAGTGGCTACATCGTGCAGAGATAGTATGTTTGGGAGAGGGAGAGCATAGTTTGTGAGGCTTTGCAATAAACTCAGTACTACCCTGTCACAGTGAAAAGCAGAACCAGACTGTACTCAGCTGACATCTCCCAATGGGGGAAGCACTTGTATTGGCCTTACAAAGAGGAAAACCTCCCATCCCAGTATTGGGAGCTTCAGTTTTTGCAAGTCTTGCCATCATGAGTTGACGTGCTATTGGACTCTAAGAGAACTTAAGGGGAATTCTAAGCCACAAGGACTTCAATTATTAGGCAAGTCATATTCCGAGCTGGGCTCAGAGCCAGTGGAATGTGGAGGGTGGGGAGAATGGAGTCTACTGAGACAGCAGCCAGAGAAGCAAAGGGAGTGCTCACAACACCACTCCCCCACTCCCACCTAGCAGCAGCCACACAACACAGAGAAACCTGTGAATTTGGGAGAGGGAGAGCACAGTGACTGGAGGACTTTGCATTAAACTCAGTGCTGCCATGTCAGTAAAGATCTGGCAGAATTCATCACCTGCTGACTAAAGAACCCCTGTACCCAGAATAAAAAACAGTGACAACCAGGTAATACACCATGGGCATTGGGCTCTGAGAAGCGCCAACTTCAAGTGTGACCCAGTACATTTCCAGCTGTGGGATCTATGGTGAAAGACTTCTGTTTGAGAAAAGCAGGGGGGAAAGTAAAGGGACCTCTGTGTTGCACCTGAGATGCCAGCTCAACCACAGTGGGGTAGAGCACCAAGCGGATTCTTAGAGTCCCTGAGTCCAGGCCTAAGGTCTTCTTGGTCAGCATTTCTGCACTTGCCCTGGGCCAAAGGTCGAGTCCCAGACATTGCAGAATTTATCACAAGCTAATTAAAGAGTGCTTGGGCTTTAAGTGAGAAAGTGATGATGATTTGGTGGAAACCCCCCATGGGCCAGTAGTGTTGGCAGTCATAGAAGAGGCTCTTCTGCCTGCAGACAGGGCAAGGGAGAGTAGAAAATATTTTGTCTTATTCCTTAAGTGCCAGGTTAGCTACAGTAAAATAGAAGAGCAGGTAAATTTTGAAGATTCTATGCTTTAATCTCTGGCTCCCAGGTAGCATCTGTGGACCCACTCATGGCTAGGGGAACTTGCCACCCTATAGGCAGAGATACAAACCTGGCTGGCTTTGCCACATATTAATCACAGAGTCCTAGGGCTTTGAATAAACATATGGTAGCCAAGTAGTGTTGCAGTGGGCCTTGCGTGAGACCAAGTTCTGTGCCTACTTCAGGTGTGAACCAGCACAGTCTCAGTGGTGGTGGCCACAGGCGTGCTTATGTTACCCCAACCCCAGCTTCACATGTCTCAGCACAGAAAGAGAGACTGCTGATTTGAGGGAATGGAAGGGAAGAGAACAAGAGTTTTTATTTGATAAATCAAGAGAATTTTTCTTGATGTTAATTCAAGGCCACCAAGGCATACCTCTATGTGTTTGCATAAACTACTGTGCTATTGGGTTTGG
This sequence comes from Homo sapiens, assembly GCF_000001405.40. Lineage (NCBI taxonomy): Eukaryota > Metazoa > Chordata > Mammalia > Primates > Hominidae > Homo > Homo sapiens. The sequence goes on along the minus strand of NC_000022.11, from coordinate 11,347,225 downwards.
GACCCAAGTTGCTTTGAATACCTGGAAAGTGTTCCCAAAGATAATGGGCACTAACAAGCCCAGACTGTGAAGACTACAGTAAAGACTGAACTGTTCAATGCCCAGATACAGATGAACATCTACATGTATCAAGGCCATCCAGGAAAACATGACCTCACCAAACAAGCCAAGTAAAGCACCAGGGACAAATCCTGGAAAAACAGAGATATGTGACCTTTCATACAGGAAATCCAAAATAGCTGGTTGTGGTAATTCAAAGAAATGTACACTATAACACAGAGAAGGAATTCAAAATTCTATCAGATAAATTTAACAATGAGATTGAAATAAAAGAATAAAGCAGATATTCTGAAGTTAAATTGCTGTTGTCATACTGAAGAATGGATCAGAATTACTTAAAAGAATTGACCAAGAAGAAGATAGATTTAGCGAACTTGAAGTCAGACTGTTTAAAAATACAAAGTCAGAGGAGACAAAAAGGAAAAAAAATAAAGCATGCCTATAGAATTTAAAAAATAGCCCCAAAATAGCAAATCTAAGAGTTATTGGCCTTAAAGAGGAGGTAAAAAAAGAGATGAGTTGAACATTTATTTAAATAAATAATATTAAATCATATTAAACAATTCCTCAACATTTGATATCAATATTCGAGTAACAAAAAGTTACAGAACATAAAGCAGATTTAACCCAAAGAAGACGACCTCAAGGCGCTTTAACTGAACTCCCAAAAGTTAAGGATAAAGAAATGATTCTAAAAGCATCGAGAGAAGAGAAACAAATAACTTTCAGTGGAACTCCAATACATCTGACAGCAGACTTTTCAGGGGAAAATTTACAGGCTGGGAGACTGGCATGACATATTAAAAGCTGAAGAAAAAAAAGACTTTTACTTTAGAATAATGTCTCAGGCAAAAACGGCCTTTAAACTTGATGGGAAAATAAGAACTTTTTCCGACAAAAAAAAACTGAGGGATTTCATTAACACCAGACCTGTCCTACAAGAAATGCTAAAGGGATATCTTAACCTAAAAGAAAAAAAGTTAGCGAGCAAGAAGAAATCATCTGAAGGTACAGAACTCACTAGCAATAGCACATGGAAAAACACTGAATATTATAATATGGTAATTATGGGGGGAAAAAATCTCAAATAGAAAGAGTAAACATATGAACTTTAAAGTAGTTTTTTCAAATTCTGTGAAGAAAGGCATTGGTAGCTTGATGGGGATGGCATTGAATCTATAAATTACCTTGGGCAGTATGGCCATTTTCACGATATTGATTCTTCCTACCAATGAGCATGGAATGTTCTTCCATTTGTTCGTATCCTCTTTTATTTCCTTGAGCAATGGTTTCTAGCTCTCCCTGAAGAGGTCCTTCACATCCCTTGTTAGTTGGATTCCTAGGTATTTTATTCTCTCTGAAGCAATTGTGAATAGGAGTTGACTCATGATTTGGCTGTCTGTCTGTTATTGGTGTATAAGAATGCTTGTGATTTTTGTACATGGATTTTGTATCCTGAGACTTGGCTGAAGCTGCTTAACAGCTTAAGGAGATTTTGGGCTGAGACAATGGGGTTTTCTAGATATACAATCATGTCATCTGCAAACAGGGACAATTTGACTTCCTCTTTTCCTAATTGAATACCCTCTATTTTCAACTCCTGCTTGATTTCCCTGGCCAGAACTTCCAATACTATGTTGAATAAGAGTGGTGAGAGAGGGCATCCCTGTCTTCTGTCAGTTTTCAAAGAGAATGTTTCCAGTTTTTGCCCATTCAGTATGACATTGGCTGTGGGTTTGTCATAGATAGCTCTTATTATTTTCAGACACGTCCCATCAATACCTAATTTATTCAGAGTTTTTACCATGAATGTTGTTGAATTTTGGCAAAGGCCTTTTCTGCATCTATTGAGATAATCATGTGGTTTTTGTCTTTGGTTCTGTTTATATGCTGGATTACATTTATCGATTTGCGTATGTTTAACCAGGCTTGCATCCCAGGGATGAAGCCCACTTGATTATGGTGGATAAGCTTTTTGATGTGCTGCTGGATTTGGTTTGCCAGTATTTTATTGAGGATTTTTGCATCAATGTTCATAAAGGATATTGGTCTAAAATTCTCTTTTTTTGTTGTGTCTCTGTCCGGCTTTGGTATCAGGATGATGCTGGCCTCATAAAGTGAGTTAGGGAGGATTCCCTCTTTTTCTATTGATTGGAATAGTTTCAGAAGGAATGGTACTAGCTCCTTCTTGTACCTCTGGTAGAATTTGACTGTGAATCCATCTGCTCTTAGGCTTTTTTGATTGGGAAGCTATTGATTATTGCCTCAATTTTAGAGCCTGTTATTGGTCTATTCAGAGATTCAACTTCTTCCTGGTTTAGTTTTGGGAGGGTGCATGTGTCGAGGAATTTATCCATTTCTTCTAGATTTTCTAGTTTATTTGCATAGAGGTGTTTATTGTATTCACTGATGGTAGTTTGTATTTCTGTGGGATCGGTGGTGATATATCCTTTATCATTTTTATTGCATCTATTTGATTCTTCTCTCTTTTCTTCTTTATTAGTCTTGCTAGTGGTCTATCAGTTTTGTTGATCTTTTCAAAAAACAAGCTCCTGGATTCATTGACTTTTTGAAGGGTTTTTTGTGTCTCTATTTCCTTCAGTTCTGCTCTGATTTTAGTTATTTCTTGCCTTCTTCTAGCTTTTGAATGTGTTTGCTCTTGCTTCTCTAGTTCTTTTAATTGTGCTGTTATGGTGTCCATATTAGATCTTTCCTGCTTTCTCTTGTGGGCATTTAGTGCTATAAATTTCCCTCTACACACTGCTTTGAATGTGTCCCAGAGATTCTGGTATGTTGTGTCTTTGTTCTCGTTGGTATCAAATAACATCTTTATTTCTGCCTTCATTTCGTTATATACCCAGTAGTCATTCAGGAGCAGGTTGTTCAGTTTCCATGTAGTTGAGTGGTGTTGAGTGAGTTTCTTAATCCTGAGTTCTAGTTTGATTGCACTGTGTTCTGAGAGACAGTTTGTTATAACTTCTGTTCTTTTACATTTGCTGAGGAGAGCTTTACTTCCAACTATGTGGTCAATTTTGGAATAGGTGTGGTGTGGTGCTGAAAAGAATGTGTATTCTGTTGACTTGGGGTGGAGAGTTCTGTAGATGTCTATTAGGTCCACCTGGTGCAGAGCTGAGTTCAATTCCTGCATATCCTTTTTAACTTTCTGTCTCATTGATCTGTCTAATATTAACAGTGGGGTGTTAAAGTCTCCCATTATTATTGTGTGGGAGTCTAAGTCTCTTTGTAGGTCTCTAAGGACTTGCTTTATGAATCTGGGTGCTCCTGTATTGGGTGCATATATATTTAGGATAATTAGCTCTTCTTGTTGAATTGATCCCTTTACCATTATGTCATGGCCTTCTTTGTCTCTTTTGATCTTTGCTGGTTTAACGTCTGTTTTATTAGCAACTGGGAATGAAACCCCTGCCTTTTTTTGTTTTCCATTTGCTTGGTAGATCTTCCTCCATCCCTTTATTTTGAGCCTGTGTGTATCTCTGCACATGAGATAGGTTTCCTGAATACAGCACACTGATTGGTCTTGACTTTTTATCCAATTTGCCAGTCTGTGTCCTTTAATTGCAGCATTGAACCCATTTACATTTAAGGTTAATATTGCTATGTGTGAATTTGATCCTGTCATTATGATGTTAGCTGGTTATTTTGCTCGTTAGTTGATGCAGTTTCTTCCTAGCATCGATGATCTTTACAATTTGGCGTTTTTGCCGTGACTGGTACCAGTTGTTCCTTTCCATGTTTAGTGTTTCCTTCAGGAGCTCTTTTAGGGCAGGTCTGGTGGTGACAAAATCTCTCAGCATTTGCTTGTCTGTAAAGGATTTTATTTCTCCTTCACTTATGAAGCTTAGTTTGGCTGGAAATGAAATTTTGGGCTGAAAATTCTTTTCTTTAAGAATGATGAATATTGGCCCCACTCACTTCTGGCTTGTAGAGTTTCTGCCGAGAGATCAGCTGTTAGTCTGATGAGCTTCCCTTTGTGGGTAACCTGACCTTTGTCTCTGGCTGCCCTTAACATTTTTTCCTCATTTCAACTTTGGTGAATCTGACAATTATGTGTCCTGGAGTTGCTCTTCTCAAGGAGTATCTTTGTGGCATTCTCTGTATTTCCTGAATGTGAATGTTGGCCTGCCTTGCTAGATTGGGGAAGTTCTCCTGGATAATATCTTGCAGAGTGCTTTACAACTTGCTTCCATTCTCCCCGTCACTTTCAGGTACACCAATCAGACGTAGATTTGGTCTTTTCCCATAGTCCCATATTTCTTGGAGGCTTTGTTCATTTCTTTTTGTTCCTTTTTCTCTTAACTTCTCTTCTCGCTTCATTTTATTCATTTCATCTTCCATCACTGATACCCTTTCTTCCAGTTGATCGAATCGGCTACTGAGGCTTCGGCATTCATCACTTAGTTTTCATGCCATGGTTTTCAGCTCCATCAGGTCCTTTAAGGACTTCTCTGCATTGATTATTCTACTTAGCCATTCATCTAACTTTTTTTCAAGGTTTTTAACTTCTTTGCCATGGGTTCAGACTTTCTCCTTTAGCTTGGTGTAGTTTAATCATCTGAAGCCTTCTTCTCTCAACTCCTCAAAGTCATTCTCCTTCCAGCCTTGTTCCGTTGCTGGTGAGGAGCTGCGTTCCTTTGGAGGAGGAGAGGAGCTCTGATTTTTAGAGTTTCCAGTTTTTCTGCTCTGTTTTTTCCCCATATTTGTGGTTTTATCTACCTTTGGTCTTTGATGATGGTGACGTACAGATGGGTTTTTGGCGTGGATGTCCTTTCTGTTTGTTAGTTTTCCTTCTTACAGTCAGAACCCTCAGCTGCAGGTCTGTTGGAGTTTGCTGGAGGTCCACTCCTGACCCTGTTTACCTGGGTATCAGCAGCGGTGGCTGCAGAACAATGGATATTGGTGAAGTGCAAATGCTGCTGCTTGATCGTTCCTCTGGAAGTTTTGTCTCAAAGGATTACCCGGCCATGTTAGGTGTCAGTCTGCCCCTACTGTGGGTGCCTCCCAGTTAGGCTACTAGGGGTTCAGGGACCCAGTTGAGGAGGCAGTCTGCCCATTCTCAGATCTCCAGTTGCATGCTGGGAGAATCACTACTCTCTTCAAAGCTGTCAGACAGGGACATTAAAATCTGCAGAGGTTTCTGCTGCCTTTTGTTTGGCTATGCCCTACTCCCAGAGGTGGAGTCTACAGAGGCAGGCAGGCCTCCTTGAGCTGAAGTGGGCTCCACCCAGTTCAAGCTTCCCGGCTGCTTTACCTACTCAAGCCTCGGCAATGGCAGGGGACCCTCCCCAAGCCTCACTGCCACCTTGCAGTTTGATCTCAGACTGCTGTGCTAGCAATGAGTGAGGCTCTGTGGGCGTAGGACCCTCCAAGCCAGGCATGAGATATAATCTCCTGGTGTGCCATTTGCTAAGACCATTGGAAAAGTGCAGTATTAGGGTGGGAGTGACCCAATTTTCCAGGTGCCGTCTGTCACCCCTTTCTTTGACTAGCAGAGGGAATTCCCTGACCCCTTGTGCTTCCTGGGTGAGGTGATGTCTCACCCTGCTTCTGCTCATGCTCAGTGCACTGCACCCACTGTGCTGCACCCTCTGTCTGACACTCCCCAGTGAGATGAACCCGGTACCACATTTGGAAATGCAGAACTCACCCATCTTCTGTGTCGCTCATTCTGGGAGCTGTAGATTGGAGCTGTTGCTATTTGGCCATCTTGGCTCCAACCTCTGTTTTGCTTGTTTCTTTGTTTATGCAACCAGTGTTAAATTGTCCACAGTCTAAAATCATGTATTATATTATTTTCAAGCCTCATGGTAATTTCAAATCAAAAGGTGTACCAAAGATGTACAAAAAGTAAAAAGCAAGAAATTAGATTATAATTCAAGAGAAATCACCTTCACTAAAAGGAAGACAGGAAGAAAGGAAAGAAGGAAGAGAGGGCAAAAATCAATCAGAAAACAAATGAAAAATGGCAGGAGTAAGTGCTTATCACTGATAACATTGAATTTAAATGAACTAAGTACTCCAGTCAAAAGAAAAATAGTGGATGAATGGATAGAGAAGCAGGACAATAATCTGTGACCTACAAAAAAAACACACTTTACCTACAAAGATACATTTAGACTGAAAACAAAAGGATGGAAAAAGTTATCCCATGCCAATAGAGACCAAAAAAAGCAGAAATAGCCATACTTATACCAGACAAAAATAGATTTCCACAAAAGACTGTAGGAAGAAATTAAAAGGTCGTTATATAATAATAAAGAGATCAATTCATCAAGAGGATATAATAATTGAAAATATATATGCACCCAACACTAAAGCACCTAGATAAATGAAGCAAATATTATGAGCTAAAGAAAGAGACCTCAATACAATAATGGCTGGACACTTCAACACCCCACTTTAGTCATTAGGTAGACCTTCCAGACAGAAAATAAACAAAGAAACATCAGACTTAATCTGTACTATAGAACAAATGAACCTAATAGATATTTACAGAAAATTTCATCCAACAGCTGCAGAATACACATTCTTCTCCTCAGCACATGCATTATTTTCAAGGATAGACCATATGTTAAGGAACAAGTCTAAAAACATTCCAAAAAATTGAAGTAATATCAAGCATTTTCTCTGACTACAGGGGATAAAACTAGATATCAATTAAAAAAGGAATTTAAGAAACTATATAAACAAATGGGCATTAAGCAGTATGCTCCTGAATGATTAGTAGGTTGATAAAAATGTTAAGAAGAAAATAGAAAAATTTCTTGAAACAAATGATAATGGAAACATAGCATAGAAAAACCTATGGAATATAGTTAAAGAGGTACTATTATAAAAGGAAAATTTATAACTGTAAGTGCCTACATAAAAAACAGAAAAGCTTCAAATAAATAACCTAACAATACATCTTAATTAACTAGAATAAAAGACCAAACCTAACCCAAAATTAGAAGAAAAGAAATAATAAAGATTAGAGCAGAAGTAGATAAAGTTAAAATGACGAAAATAATGTAAAGAATTAATGAAAGAAAATGTTGATTTTTGAAAAGTAAAACAATTGACAAATATTTAAACAGGCTAACTAAAAAACAGAAAAGATACAAATTAGTAAAATCAGAGGTGAAAAAGGAGACATTACAAATAATGCTTCAGAAAAGCAAAGGATCATTAGTAAATAATATCAGCAATTGTATGCCAACAAATTAGAAAACCTAGAGGAAATTAATTCTTAGACACACACAACTTACCAAGATTTAACTAGGAAAAAAATCTAAAACCTGAACAGATCAATAACTATTAACAAAATTAAAGCCTTAATAAAAAAAGTCTGTAGGACCAGACTGAAAACTAGAGAAGGAAAGAACATTTCCAAAGTCATTCTTTGAGGCTAGTATTACCCTGATATCAAAACCAGACAAAGACACATTAAAAAAAGGGAACGACAGGCCCATATCTGAGAATATTGGTGGAAAAATTTGCAAAACACCTAACAAACTGAATTAAGCAATACATAAATAGGTAATTCATAATGACCAAGTGGGATTTATCTCAGGGACGTAAGGATGGGTCAACATGCAAATCAATCGATGTGATAGATCACATAAAGAGAATGAAGGGGCCAGGCACAGTGGCTCACACCTGAAATCCCAGCAATTTAGGAAGCTGAGGTGGGCGGATCACCTGAGGTCAGGAGTTTAAAACCAGTCTGGCCAACAGGGCGAAGCCCCGTCTCTACTAAAATTACAAAAATTAGCCAGGTGTGGTGGTGGGCACCTGTGATCCCAGCTACTCAGGAGGCTGAAGAAGAAGAATCACTTGAACCTGGGAGGCAGAGTTTGCATTGAGCTGAGATCATGCCATTGCCCTCCAGCCTGGGTGACAGAGGGAGACTTCATCTCAAAAAAATAAAACAAAACAAAACAAAACAAGGACAAAATCCATATAATCATTTCAATTATGCTAAAAATTTTTTGATAAAATTTAATAGTCTTTAATAATAAAAAAACCCTTTAAAAACTGGGTATGGAATGAACATACCTCAACATAATAAAAGTCACATTTGACAGACCCACAGCTAGTATCACACTAAGTGGGGAAAAACTAAAAGCCTTTCCTCTAAAATCTGGAAGATGACAAGAATGTCCACTTTTACCACTGTTATTCAACATAATGCTGAAAGTCCTATCTGGAGCAATCAGACAGGAGAAAGCAATAAAACGCATCCCAATTGGAAAATAAGTCAAATTACCTTTTTTTTTTTGCCAATTATATAATCTTATATTGGAAAAAGCATAAAGACTCCTCTGATAGGGTTTGAATGTGTGTCCCCTCCCAAATTTCATATTTAAATGTAATTCTAAATGTTGGAGATGGGCCTGGTGAAAGGTGATTTAACCATTGGGGTGTATTACTCATAAATGGCTTAGCACCATCCCATTTGTTACTATTCTCATGATAGTGAGTGAGTTCCCATAAGATCTGGTTATTCGAAACTGTGTAACAACTCGCCCCTCTGTTTTTTGCTCCTGCTTTTTGCCCTGTGATGTGCAAGACTCTGCTTCAACTTCTGCCATGACTGTAAACTTCCAGAGACCTCCCCAGGAGCATATTCCAGTGCTATGTCTTCTCTACAGCCTGTAGAATCATAAGCCACTTAAACCTACTTTGTAAAAAATAAATTATCCAGTCCCACTCTCATAGTGATGCAAAAATAGCTTAATACAGAAAATTGGCACCAAGGAATGGAAAATGGTTATAAGAATACCCCAAAATGTGGAATCAGCTTTGTAATTGGGTAAACAGGCAGAAGTTGGAAGAGTTTGTAGGATTCAGAAGACAGAAAAATGAGGGAAAGTTGAGATTTTCTTAGAGACTGGTTGAATATCTGTGACCAAAATGCTGATAGTGATCTGTACAGTGAAGCCCGGGCTGAGGAGGTCTCAGATGAAAACTAGAAACTTATTGGGACTGAAACAAAGGTCATGCATGTTGTCTTAGCAAAGTTGTTGGCTGAATTTCTGTCATGCCCTACGGATATATAAAAGTTTGAATTTGAAATTGATGATTTAGGGTTTCTGTTGGAAAAATGTCTAAGCAGCAAAGCAGTTGTGATGTGGCCTTGCTGCTTCTAACAACCTATGCTCACATGTTCTAGCAAAAAAAATAAAATAAAATAAGTAGTAACTTATACTTACAAAAGAAGCATAGTGTAAAAGCTTGAAAACTTTGCAGCCTAGTCATGTGGCTGAAATATAAAAAGCTTTTATAAGAGAGGAACTCAAGCAGGATATGTGTCAACTACTTGTTAGAGATATTTGTATAACCTAAAAAAAAGCAAGTATTGATAGCCAAGGCAATGGGAAAGAGGAATTGAAGGCATTTTAAAAATCTAAAAGGCAGCCCCCCATCACAGGCCCTGAGGCCTAAAAGAAGAGAATAGTTTCTGGGATCAGACCTAGGACCTGCTGCCTTGGGTAGCTTTGGAACAAGACTCCCTGCTTCCTGGCCACTGCTTCAGCTCCAGGTGTAGCTCAAATTGACCCAGTTACAACTCCAGTCACTGCTTCAGAGGGTGCAAGCCATAACCTTGGTAGCTTCCATGTGGTGTTAGGCCTGTGGGTTTACCAAATGCAAGTAGTTGAGACTTGGGAGCCTCCACCTTTATTTCAAAGGATGTATGAAAAAGCCAGGGTGGTAGGAGGAGCCAAGATGGCAGAATAGGAACAGCTCCGGTCTACAGCTCCCAGCGTGAGGGACGCAGAAGCCGGGTGATTTCTGCATTTCCATCTGAGGTACCGGGTTCATCTCACTAGGGAGTGCCAGACAGTGGGCGCAGGTCAGTGGGTGTGCTCACCGTGTGCGAGCCGAAGCAGGGCGAGGCATTGCCTCACTTGGGAAGTGCAAGGAGTCAGGGAGTTCCCTTTCTGAGTCAAAGAAAGGGGTGACAGACGGCACCTGGAAAATCGGGTCACTCCCACCCGAATACTGCGCTTTTCCTAAGGGCTTAAGAAACGGCGCACCCTGAGATTATAACCCGCACCTGGCTCGGAGGGTACTATGCCCACGGAGTCTCATTGATTGCTAGCACAGCAGTCTGAGATCAAACTGCAAGGCGGCAGCGAGGCTTGATTAGGTAAACAAAGCAGCTGGGAAGCTCGAACTGGGTGGAGCCCACCACAGCTCAATGCAATCAACTGGAAGAAAGGGTATCAGCGATGGAAGATGAAATGAATGAAATGAAGCGAGAAGGAAAGTTTAGAGAAAAAAGAATAAAAACAAATGAGCAAAGCCTCCAAGAAATATGGGACTATGTGTAAAGACCAAATCTACGTCTGATTGGTGTACCTGAAAGTGATGAGGAGAATGGAACCAAGTTGGAAAACGCTCTGCAGGATATTATCCAGGAGAACTTCCCCAATCTAGCAAGGCAGGCCAACGTTCAGATTCAGGAAATACAGAGAACGCCACAAAGATACTCCTCGCGAAGAGCAACTCCAAGACACATAATTGTCAGATTCACCAAAGTTGAAATGAAGGAAAAAATGTTAAGGGCAGCCAGAGAGAAAGTTCGGGTTACCCTCAAAGGGAAGCCATTCAGACTAACAGTGGATCTCTCGGCAGAAACCCTACAAGCCAGAAGAGAGTGGGGGCCAATATTCAACATTCTTAAAGAAAAGAATTTTCAACCCAGAATTTCATATCCAGCCAAACAAAGCTTCATAAGTGAAGGAGAAATAAAATGCTTTGCAGACAAGCAAATGCTGAGAGATTTTGTCACCACCAGGCCTGCCTTACAAGAGCTCCTGAAGGAAGCACTAAACATGGAAAGGAACAACCGGTACCAGCCGCTGCAAAATCATGCCAAAATGTAAAGACCATCGAGACAAGGAAGAAACTGCATCAACTAACGAGCAAAATAACCAGCTAACATCATAATGACAGGATCAAATTCACACATAACAATATTAACTTTAAATGTCAATGGACTAAATGCTCCAATTAAAAGACACAGACTGGCAAATTGGATAAAGAGTCAAGACCCATCAGTGTGCTGTACTCAGGAAACCCATCTCACGTGCAGAGACACATATAGGCTCAAAATAAAAGGATGGAGGAAGATCTACCAAGCAAATGGAAAACAAAAAAAGGCAGGGGTTGCAATCCTAGTCTCTGATAAAACAGACTTTAAACCAACAAAGATCAAAAGAGACAAAGAAGGCCATTACATAATGGTAAAGGGATCAATTCAACAAGAAGAGCTAACTATCCTAAATATATATGCACCCAATACAGGAGCACCAAGATTCATAAAGCAAGTCCTGAGTGACCTACAAAGAGACTTAGACTCCCACACATTAATAATGGGAGACTTTAACACCCCACTGTCAACATTAGACAGATCAACGAGACAGAAAGTCAACAAGGATACCCAGGAATTGAACTCAGCTCTGCACCAAGCAGACCTAATAGACATCTACAGAACTCTCCACCACAAATCAACAGAATATACATTCTTTTCAGCACCACACCACACCTATTCCAAAATTGACCACATACTGGGAAGTAAAGCTCTCCTCAGCAAATGTAAAAGAATAGAAATTATAACAAACTATCTCTCAGACCACAGTGCAATCAAACTAGAACTCAGGATTAAGAAACTCACTCAAAACTGCTCAACTACATGGAAACTGAACAACCTGCTCCTGAATGACTACTGGGTACATAACGAAATGAAGGCAGAAATAAAGATGTTCTTTGAAACCAACGAGAACAAAGACACAACATACCAGAATCTATGGGACGCATTCAAAGCAGTGCGTAGAGGGAAATTTATAGCACTAAATGCCCACAAGAGAAAGCAGGAAAGATCCAAAATTGACACCCTAACATCACAATTAAAAGAACTAGAAAAGCAAGAGCAAACACATTCAAAAGTTAGCAGACGGCAAGAAATAACTAAAATCAGAGCAGAACTGAAGGAAATAGAGACACAAAAAACCCTTCAAAAAATTAATGAATCCAGCAGCTGGTTTTTTGAAAGGATCAACAAAATTGATAGACTGCTAGCAAGACTAATAAAGAAAAAAAGAGAGATGAATCAAATAGATGCAATAAAAAATGATAAAGGGTATATCATCACCGATCCCACAGAAATACAAACTATCATCAGAGAATACTACAAACACCTCTACGCAAATAAACTAGAAAATCTAGAAGAAATGGATAAATTCCTGGACACATACACTCTCCCAAAACTAAACCAGGAAGAAGTTGAATCTCTGAATAGACCAATAACAGGAGCTGAAATTGTGGCAATAATCAATAGCTTACCAACCAAAAAGAGTCCAGGACCAGATGGATTCACAGCCGAATTCTACCAGAGGTACAAGGAGGAACTGGTACCATTCCTTCTGAAACTATTCCAATCAATAGAAAAAGAGGGAATCCTCCCTAACTCATTTTATGAGGCCAGCATCATTCTGATACCAAAGCCAGGCAGAGACACAACAAAAAAAGAGAATTTTAGACTAATATCCTTGATGAACTTTGATGCAAAAATCCTCAATAAAATACTGGCAAACCGAATCCAGCAGCACATCAAAAAGCTTATCCACCATGATCAAGTGGGCTTCATCCCTGGGATGCAAGGCTGGTTCAATATACGCAAATCAATAAATGTAATCCAGCATATAAACAGAACCAAAGACAAAAACCACATGATTATCTCAATAGTTGCAGAAAAAGCCTTTGACAAAATTCAACGAACCTTCATGCTAAAAACTCTCAATAAATTAGGTATTGATGAGACGTATTTCAAAATATTAAGAGCTATCTATGACAAACCCACAGCCAATATCATACTGAATGGGCAAAAACTGGAAGCATTCCCTTTGAAAACTGGCACAAGACAGGGATGCCCTCTCTCACCACTCCTATTCAACATAGTGTTGGAAGTTCTGGACAGGGCAATTAAGCAGGAGAAGGAAATAAAGGGTATTCAATTAGGAAAAGAGGAAGTCAAATTGTCCCTGTTTGCAGATGACATGATTATATATCTAGAAAACTCAATTGTCTCAGCCCAAAATCTCCTTAAGCTTATAAGCAACTTCAGCAAAGTCTCAGGATACAAAATCCATGTACAAAAATCACAAGCATTCTTATACACCACCAACAGACAAACAGAGAGCCAAATCATGAGTGAACTCCCATTCACAATTGCTTCAAAGAGAATAAAATACCTAGGAATCCAACTTACAAGGGATGTGAAGGACCTCTTCAAGGAGAACTACAAACCACTGCTCAAGGAAATAAAAGAGGATACAAACAAATGGAAGAACATTTCATGCTCATGGGTAGGAAGAATCAATATCGTGAAAATGGCCATACTGCCCAAGGTAATTTACAGATTCAATGCCATCCTCATCAAGCTACAAATGACTTTCTTCACAGAATTGGAAAAAACTACTTTAAAGTTCATATGGAACCAAAAAAGAGCCCGCATCACCAAGTCAATCCTAAGCCAAAAGAACAAAGCTGGAGGCATCACACTACCTGACTTCAAACTATACTACAAGGCTACAGTAACCAAAACAGCAGGGTACTGGTACCAAAACAGAGATATAGATCAATGGAACAGAATAGAGCCCTCAGAAATAACGCCGCATATCTACAACTATCTGATCTTTGACAAACCTGAGAAAAACAAGCAATGGGGAAAGGATTCCCTATTTAATAAATGGTGCTGGGAAAACTGGCTAGCCATATGTAGAAAGCTGAAACTGGATCCCTTCCTTACACCTTATACAAAAATCAATTCAAGATGGATTAAAGACTTAAACATTAGACCTAAAACCATAAAAACCCTAGAGGAAAACCTTGGCATTACCATTCAGGACATAGGCATGGGCAAGGACTTCATGTCTAAAACACCAAAAGCAATGGCAACAAAAGCCAAAATAGACAAATGGGATCTAATTAAACTAAAGAGCTTCTGCACAGCAAAAGAAACGACCATCAGAGTTAACAGGCAACCTACAAAATGGGAGAAAATTTTTGCAACCTACTCATCTGACAAAGGGCTAATATCCAGCATCTACAATGAACTCAAACAAATTTACAAGAAAAAAACAAACAACCCCATCAAAAAGTGGGCAAATGACATGAACAGACACTTCTCAAAAGAAGACATTTATGCAGCCAAAAAAACACATGAAAAAATGCTCACCATCACTGGCCATCAGAGAAATGCAAATCAAAACCACAATGAGATAACATCTCACACCAGTTAGAATGGCAATCATTAAAAAGTCAGGAAACAACAGGTGCTGGAGAGGATGTGGAGAAATAGGAACACTTTTACACTGTTGGTGGGACTGTAAACTAGTTCAACCATTGTGGAAGTCAGTGTGGCGATTCCTCAGGGATCTAGAACTGGAAATACCATTTGACCCAGCCATCCCATTACTGGGTATATACCCAAAGGACTATAAATCATGCTGCTATAAAGACACATGCACACGTATGTTTATTGCGGCATTATTCACAATAGCAAAGACTTGGAACCAACCCAAATGTCCAACAATGATAGACTGGATTAAGAAAATGTGGCACATATACACCATGGAATACTATGCAGCCATAAAAAATGATGAGTTCATGTCCTTTGTAGGGACATGGATGAAATTGGAAATCATCATTCTCAGTAAACTATCGCAAGAACAAAAAACCAAACACTGCATTTTCTCACTCATAGATGGGAATTGAACAATGAGAACACATGGACACAGGAAGGGGAATATCACACTCTGGGGACTGTTGTGGGGTGGGGGGAGGGGGGAGGGATAGCATCGGGGGATATACCTTATGCTAGATGACGAGTTAGTGGGTGCAGCACACCAGCATGGCACATGTATACATATGTAACTAACCTGCACAATTTGCACATGTACCCTAAAACTTAAAGTATAATAAGAAAAAAGAAAAGAAAAGAAAAGAAAAAGCCAGGGTGTGCCGGCAGAGGCATGCTGCATGGGTGGAGCCCTCATGGAGATCCTCTACTAAAACAATGGAGAAAAGAAATGTGGGGTGACAGTCCCCAGGCAGGCTCCCCACTGGGTCATGGCCTAGTAGATCTGTGAGGAGAGGATCACTGTCCTCCAGGCCCCGGAATGGTAGATCTAGCTACAGCCTGCACCTGGCACCTTGAAAAGCCAGGGGCACAGAATGCCAGCCCATGAGAGCAGCTGTGGGGGCTGAACCATGCAAAGTCACAAGGTAGAACCTTCCCAAGGCATTAGTGTGCCCTGGAAATGGGACACAGAGTCAAAAATAATTATTTTGGAGCCTTACAATTCAATAACTGCCCTTCTGGGTTTCAGACTTTCATGGATCCTGTGGCCCCTTTCTTTTGGCTGATTTCTTCCTTTTAGAATAGGAGTATTTACCCAATGCCTCTGCCTCATTTGTATCTTGGAAGAACTTGGTTTTTTTTTTTACTTTACAGGCTTATAGAAGGAAGAAGTTAGCTGTGTCTTAGATGAGACTTTTGACTTTTGAGTTAAGGCTGAAATTAGTTAAGACTTTGGGGATTATAGGGAAGTCATGATTGTATTTTGAAATATGAGAAGGATATGAGATTTGGAATGGCCAGGGGCAAAATGATACAGTTTGGATGTATATTCCCACCAAAATCTTATATTGAAATATAATCCTCAAAGTTGGAATTGGGCCTAGAGGGGAGGTGATTGAATCATGAGGGCAAGATTTCCATGAAGAGTTTGGCATCATTTCCTTTGGTGCCATTCCCACAATAGTAAGTTTTTATCAGAGCTGGTTATCTACAAGTGTGTGTAGCACTTCCCCCCTGCCCTCACACTTACCATGTGATGTGCAAGCACCGGATTTATTTTTCACCTTGTCAGTTGTCAGAGGCTTCCCCAGAAGCAGAAGCCAGTGCTATGCTTTCTGTACAGCCTGAAGAACCATGAACCAATTAAACCTATTTTCTTTATAAATTAACCAGTCACTGATTACTTTTTATAGCAATATGAGAATGGTCTAATACATCCACCAAAAACTATTAGAAGTAATAACTTGAGTAAATTTGCAGAATACAAAATCAACATATACAAATCAGTAGGATTTCTATATGCCAACAGTCAACAAACTGAAAAAGAATTCAAAAATGTAATACTATTTGCAGTAGCCACAAATAAAACAAAATGTGTTGGAATTTACCAAAGAAAAAAAAGTTCTCAACAGTTAAAACTGTAAAACACTGATAAAAGAAATGAAAAAGGACCCAAAAATTGGAAAGATATTTTTATGTTCACAGATTGGAAGAATCAGTATTTTTAAAAAATGTCCATACAATCCATAGCAATCTATACCTTTCATGCCATCTCTATCAAAATAACAGGCCAGGGGCAGTGGCTCATGCCTGTAATCCCAGCACTTTGGGAGGCTGAAGTTGGTGGATCATGAGGTCAGGAGTTCAAGACCAGCCTGGCCAATTTCGTGAAAACCCACTTCTACTAAAAATACAAAAAAATTAGCCAGGCATGGTGGCAGGTGCCTGTAATCCCAGCTACTCAGGAGGCTGAGACAAAGAATTGCTTGAACCCAGGAGGTGGAGGTTGCTGTGTGCAGGGATAACATCACTGCACTCCAGTCTAGGTGACAGAGCAAGATGCAATCTAAAAAAAAAAAGAAGAACACATTCCTCACAGATATAGAAAAAAAATTCTGAAATTTATATGGAAACATCACAAAACAGCATAATAGTCAAAGCTATGCTGAGTATATAAAACAAAACTGGAGGAATTCCATTACCTGGTTTTAAATTATACTACTAAGTTATAGTAATTAAAACAGCATGACACTAGCATAAAAACAGACATAAAGACAGATGGAACGAAATAGAGACCTTAGAAACAAACTCATACAGCTAAATTAATTTTCAACAAAAGTGCCAAGAATATACAATAAAAAATAAGACAGTTTTTATAATAAATAGGGCTGGGAAAACTGGCATTCTGTGTGAGGGACAAACATTCAGACCCTCATAGCAGTGTTCAGGAATCCCATGTGAGGGACAAACATTCAGACAACAGCAGGAGTGTTCTGGAATCCCCTGTGAGGAACAAACATTCAGACCCTCGTAGCAGTGTTCTGGAATCCTATGTGACAAACATTTAGAACCCAGCAGCATTCTGGAATCCTATGCGAGGGACAAACATTCAGACTCTCGTAGCAGTGTTCTGGAATCCTATGGGAGGAACAGCTAAATTAATTTTCAACAGAAGTACCAAGAACATACAATAAAAAATGAGACAGTTTTTGTAATAAATAGGGCTGGGAAAACTGGCAAGCCATAGGCAGAAGAATAAAACTAGAACCCTATTTCTTGCCACTTACAAAAATCAAATTAAAATGAATTAAAGACTTAAACCTAACGCCTCAAACCATCAAACTTTTACAACAAAACATTGGGGAAACTCTTTAGGGCATTGGTTTGGGCAAAAATTCCTTAAATAATGCCCCAGAAGCACAGACAACCCAAACAAACATGGACAAATGGGATTACAGAAAGTCAGAAAGCCTTTTTAAAGTGAAGGAAACAAGAAACATAGTGAAGAGAAAATCCACAGAATGAGAGAAAATGTTTGTAAATTATCCATCTGAAAAGCAATTAATAGCTACATGATATGGTTAGGATTTGGGTCCCCACCCAAATCTCATATTGAATTGTAATCCCCAGATGTTCAGGGAGAGACTTGGTAGAAGGTGATTGGATCATGGGGGTGGTTTCCCCCATGCTGTTCTTCTGATAATGAGATCTGATGGTTTTATAAGGGACTCTTCCCCCTTTCCTTCACATACATGTTCTCTCGCCTGCTGTCATGTAAGAGGTGCCTGTTTCCCCATCTGCCATTATTGTAAGTTTCCTGAGGCCTCCCCGGCCATATGGAACTGTGAGTCAATTAAACCCATTTCCTTTATAAATTACCCAGTCTTGCCAGGTGTGGTGGCTCATGCCTGTAATCTCACCACTTTGGGAGGCTGAGGCGGGTGGATAACTAGGCCAGGAGTTCAAGACCAGCCTGGCCAAGATGGTGAAACCCCGTCTCCACTAAAAATACAAAAATTAGCCAGGCATGGTGTCAGGTGCCTGTAATCTCAGCTACTCAGGAGGCTGAGGCAGAGAATTGCTTGAATCAGGAGGTGGAGGTTGCAGTGAGCCGAGATTACACCACTGCACTTCAGCCTGGGCAACAGACCAAGACTTCATCACAGTAAATAAATAGATAACACAGTCTCAGGTATTTTTTATAGCAGTGCAGAAACAGACTAATACACTACAATATATTGAGTTCAAGAAATTCTATAGAAAAAAGTAGTAAATAAAGAGTGGACAAAAAATTTAAATAGACATTTATGAAAAGAAGACATACAAATGTGAAACAGGCAAATGAATAGGTGCTCCACATTACTGATCATCATAGAAATGCAAATCAAACCCAAAATGAGATATCATTTCACCCCAGTTAAGATGGCTTTTATCCAGAAGTCCGTGAAAAACAAATGCTGGTGAGTATATGGAGTGAAGGGAACCCTTGTACACTGCTGTTGGGAGCACGTTTAAGGACAGTTTGGATGTTCCCGATATAACTAAAAATAGAGCTACTATGTGGTCCAGCAATCCCACTGCACAGTATATGCCTACAAGAAATAAAATTGGTAAATCAAAGACCTATTGGCACTCTCATGTTTGCTACAGCAGGGTTTATAATAGCCAAGATTTGGAAGGAACCTAAATGTCCATCAACAGATGACTGGATAGAAAAAATGTGGTACATATACACAATGGAGTACTATTCAGCTGTAAGAAAGAATGAGACGCCTGCCATTTGCAATAACATAAATGGAACTGAAAGTCATTATGTTTGTGAAAGTCTTTATGTTTATGAAAGTGAAATGTCAGGCACAGTAAGACAAATGTCACATGTTCTCACTTATTTGTGGGTGCTAAAATTCAAAACAACTGGTGTCATAGAGATAGAGAGTGTAAGGATGGTTACCAGAGACTGGGAAGGGCAGGGAGGGAACAAGGGGATAGTGGGGATGTTAAATGGGTAAAAAAAAACTATTGTTAGAAAGAATGAATAAGACAGCATTTGAAAGCACAACAGGGGGATTATAGTCAAAAATAATTTAATTCCACATGTAAAAAAATGAAAAGAGTATAATTGGATTGTTTATAACACAAGCTATAAATGTTTGAGGGGACAGATACCCCATTTTTTATTATGTATTACTCATTGCATGACTGCATCAAAGTATGTTATGTACCCCCATAAATATATACACCAACTATGTACCCACAAAAATAAATTAAAAATTGAAATTTAAATTAAAATTAAAACCAAAAGGAGGAGAGTATAATGAGACATGTGTGACCCATGGCTTGAGCTAGCTTTTCAGGTTAACTTTGGAATGTCCTTATCCAAGAAGAGAGGTGCATTTAGTCAACAGGGGTTTAGAAATTTATTTTTAGCCTATAAATGAAAAAAAGAAGGATTTTTAATCCTGAGCCATAGTTCTCAGTCAATCAATCCCTGCAAAGAACCCTGTTCTTTACTCTGGAGATAAACATTAGTTTTCTTTTCCATGGAATAACACCACATTTCAAAATGAGGGGAAACATCTTGAAACTAAGAGGTAGAGCCTTATTCAATTTGATTTGGTTTCCATTGTAATTAATTTAATCACATGTGTTCTAGAGTTTGTCCTCAGTCTTCCCCTAGTTTAGGCCCATGATCTGTTGAACTTGCTCAGCTCCCTGCTCAACAGCAGGAAATCAGAATTATTTAAAAACCTCATTGTGGCTGGGAGTGGTGGCTCATGCCTGTAATCCTAGCAATTTGGGAGGCCAAGGTGGGCAGATCGCTTGTTGTCAGGGGTTTGAGACCAGCCTGGTCAACAGAGTGAAACCCTATCTCTACTAAAGATACAAATATTAGCTGGGTGTGGTGATTCATGCCTGTAATCCCAGCTACTTGGGAGGCTGAGGCAGGAGAATTGCTTGAACCCGGGAGGCGCAGGTTTCAGTGAGCCAAGATGCTGCACTGCACTCCAGCCTGGGCAACAGAGCAAGACTCTGTCTCAAAATGATAATAATAATAATAATAATAAGTAAAAATGAAAATCTCATTTTGTTTCAAACAAAATTTCTTTTGAATATCAACTGCATCAACTTGCATATTAACTGTAATCATTTTGTTTACTTTATATCCAATCTGGAGAAATCTTTGAGGACTAATTTCACTCTTTTCTGCCATTTTGGTAAACATACCAAATGCCATCAAACAAAATGCATAAAATTCCTGAGAAATACATTTTCTCCTTGAGGAGTAGACTTGCTCTGTTAGAGGAACTCATGGTTACCTAGCTTCTAGTTTAATAAACATGACTAGAATATTCTATCTTAATATGAGTAGCTAGGTACTCACAAGGCATCTAGAAGGTTAGTGTTCGTGGTCTGAAAATAGTCACATTTTTTACTTGGCCACAAATTACAATTGCAGAATATTTGTGGTCATACAAGACATCTTCCACCAAGCCTGAAAAAATGTATAAATGTCCTAGGAGTGCAGCATATTTTTGTAAGGATATAATTAATGAGGTAGCTTAGGTCAATAGGTTAATGGTTATTGTTAAAACCAGTAGCCCCAACTTTAGTGACTACATCTGCACCTTCCAAGTTTATTTATAACTCTTTCTCTTTATAGTTATTTATAAGTAGAGACACTAACAAAAGACAATGCATTCCTCCTCTTGTTTTCTGAGGATGTCCAACTCTGTAATGGAGTAATTTCTCATAAACTTGCTTCTTTCACTGTGCTCTCTGACTCACCTCAAATTTTTTCCTGCACAAGATCTAAGAATCCTACTTTGTGGTCTGTATCAGGACCCTCTTTTTAGCAACATCTTTCAGCAACACCATGAACGGACACCAAGACAAGACCCCCACTCCAAAGAAAAAAATCCACACAGAATCAATCAGCTGACACCTGGCAAGTGGGCTTAGAGGTCAAGCCCACAGGGTTAGAGGCCCTGGAAATATTGAGAAGAATGGATTTGGCTAAACAAGATATTTGCCACTTTCTCTTTTTGGGCTGTCCACCTTGTGCTCTCTGTCCCTCACCTGAGTGCTCTACATATTGTCACCTTTCTGCTCACCGCCTCGGTTTTGTAGTAGCCTGGAGGCTGCCCAAGGACAGAGGCCACAAACAGTTTAGCTTTTACTTTCCTCATCGATCCTCTGACTCTTAACTGACTGCTTGGTTAATTTGCCACTGGTCCAAGTGACACTGAAAAAAAGAATTGTCTTCTAACCTAGTATTTTTTTTACCGTAATTATCAGAAAAGATCAGCAGTAACCTTGCCATCATTATGACTAGAAGTTGAAATGTGGTATTTAAGAGCTCTACATGATAAGATCAGATATGCCTGTTTAGTGACAGCCTCTTCTATGACAACCCTTTGCAAACAATTACCCTCAAGATGGAGAACATGAGGGTTTTCTTAACAGTTTTCTCTCATTTCTTAACCATAACGCCATCTTTGATCAGCTGGTATAGGGCAGCTGGACCCTACTTTCTAAACCCAGCATGTCACTTTTTTCCTGAGAGAGTTTTGTTAGTTTTGTCATAGCAGTGTGAAAATGGACTAATACATTACAATATACAAGCTACAGCCTTCCTATTTCCCCTGTTTGATCTGACTCCTATTTTGCAGCTTAATTTGTTTTATAGAAGAGAAACTAAGAGGGAGAAAATGCATTATATACAGGCTTCTCTGATGCTTGGTCAGGATAAAAAATTAAAATGGGCTTCCATATGTTTGATGGAGGAAAAGACAAAATAGGAACAGCACGTAATTTATTACCCTTTTAATGCAAGTACCTCTTAATATTAGGCTTTTCTTAGCTGGGGCTGAACTCCCCCTGCCAGTCCAAGCACCCCATAAGAACACAGTCAGACTCCTTCCAGTTCTGGTGAGGTGTGCAACATGTTATTAATTTCTTCTAGTTTTCCAGGGCTATCTAGTGTCCGGTCATCATCTCCTCCCTGCCCTTCGATTCCTGTCTTATGTACATACCCCACTCTCGAAACACCCGAGCTTCACCAGAACAACATGCAGTGGGGCCTCTTATCAGCTGGCAAAGTTGAATATTTGCCCTCTCTGGGAAGTGACAGATGATAATAGGGACACTATATTGAAGGGGTGGCCTGTCCCTCCACACCTGTGGGCGTTTCTCATCAGGTGGAACAAGAGACTTGTGAAAAGAGTCTCAGAGACAAAGTATAGAGAAAAAGTGGGCCCAGGGCATTGGCGCTCAGCATATGGAGGACCCGCAGCGGCACCAGTCTCTGAGTTTCCTTAGTATTTATTGATCATTATCGGGCATTTCTCGGAGAGAGGGACGTGGCAGGACTATGGGGTAATAGTGGAGAGAGGGTCAGCAGGAAAACGTGTGAACAAATGTCTCTGCATCGTAAAAAAGGTAAAGAAAAAAGTGTTGTCCTTTTGATGTGCATATACATAAACATCTCAATGCCTTAAAAAGCAGTATTGCCTCCAGCATGTCTCACCTCCAGCCCTAAGGCGGTTTACTCCTATCTCAGTAGATGGAATATACAATCGGGTTTTACACTGAGACATTCCATTGCCCAGGGACAAGCAGGAGACAGATGGCTTTGTCTTATATCAACTGCAAAGAGGCCTTCCTCTTTTACTAATCCTCCTCAGCGCAGACCATTTACAGGTGTCGGGCTGGCGGATGGTCAGGTCCTTCCCTTCCCACGAGGCCGTATTTCAGAATATCACATGGGGAGAAACCTTGGACAATACCTGGCTTTCCTAGGCAGAGGTCCCTGTGGCCTTCCGCACTGTTTTGTGTCCCTGGGTACTTGAGAGTAAGGAGTGGTGATGACTTTTAACAATCATGCTGTCTTCAAGCATTTGTTTAACAAAGCACATCCTGCATATCCCTAAATCCATTAAACCTTGAGTCGACACAGCACATGTTTCTGTGAGCACAGGGTTGGGGGTAGGTTTACAGATTAACAGTATCTCAAGGCAGAAGAATTTTTCTTAGTACAGAACAAAATGGAGCGTCTTATGTCTACTTCTTTCTACATAGAAAAAGTAACAGTCTGATCTCTCTTTTCCCCACACTATATAGGTATATGTACCCTTTTCTACGTCTGAATTAGCCATATGTAAGGAAAAAATAAAACAGTTTTCAGAGGTTCCGGGAAAATTCATAGACAAATTTAAGAGGCTAACCTTGATGTATGATCTGACCAGGCAGGATTTGCATATATTTATGTTTACCTGCTGCATGGTATAAACAGTGCATTACGGGAGTGGCTAGAGCACATGCTAATAGGGTGGCAGCCTGCAACAAGGGGCAAGACACCTATCAAATAGGAGGCATAGCAGTGCCTGACTAGGACCCAAAAGAACTAGAATCTAGAAAAGACAAATGAATTAAGAAGAAAGTGTGATATAGAGAGAAAAAATTATGATCATTTGACTCCTTGAATGAATAAAAAAGTGTGATAAAGCTTTTTAATTTTTATAAAGTCTGGAAAATTACTCAGGGAAAAGATGAAAACCTAGCCCTATTACAAGGGTGGATAATTTAGACCTTGAGGAAATACACTAACACTGACCCTGACTCCAAGAAGGGACAAGCATTGCTAGGAGTTTATTTTATAGCCCAGTCTGCTTCTGATATCTATAGGAAGCCACCAAAAGCAGCCTTAGGCTTCCAGACTCCCATGGATCAGATTTTAGACTTGGATTTTGCAGTTTTCCATCACAGGAATTCGGCAGAGAAAACATAAAATAAAGCAAATCTTCCAAGAGGCCCAGCTTCTAGCTGCAGCCTTGTGCTCTCCACCACTTCAGAGGCAGCCCCTTAACCCCTGGCCCTCACAGAGGAAGTGAGAAGGTGAAAGTCCCAGTCTGTGCCTCTGGGCCACCGTGCCTTGGATATAAATCAATGTGCCTTCTGTAGGAAGGTCAGCCACTGCCGAAGGAAATGCACTGTGCTTCCAAGGGAGCCATCATCAGAGCCCAGCAGAATCAAAAGTGGCAGGGCCTGATACTTCCTACCTCTGCTCCCATTGGACTATTAGCTATCGAGAGATGGAGGAGCCTCAGGTGACTCTTGAAGTAGTAGGTAGGAGTATTAACTTCGTATTAGGTGTGGGAGCAGATTACTCTGTCCTGATTCAATACAATGGGCTCCTGTCTTCTCATGATGGACAAGCCCCAAAACACTCCTTTTTGTATCTTCTAAGTTGTCCTCCAGAGCCTCTAGCTATCTTGCCTGCCTTTTTAGTACTGTCTGATTGCCTGACCTCTTACTGGGGAGAGGCTTATTGACTCAGGAGACCAAGTCATGGTCAACTTCACAGATCATAAAGCATAGAAAGTGTTACTTTTGTTCCTGACCCCTCAGGGGAAAAAAGAAGTTAAGAATGAGCTGTCACATTTACCACCTGAGATGTTGTCTCAAGTAAATCTTGAGGTTTGGTCCACACAGGCTCTGGGAAACCACTAAACACCTCCCCCATTCAAATCCAACTTCAGCCTAGTGCTCCTCGCCCTCAGAAGAGACAATACATTTTAAGGCAAGAAGCATGAGGGGAAATTCAACCCCTTATTGCCAAATTCTTGCCATATGAGTTATTAAGGCCATGAGAGTCTCCTTACAATACTCGCATGTTACCAGATAAAAAGCCTAATGGCAAGTACAGATTTGTCAGAACCCTTAGAGCATTAAGAAATGCAGTTGTCTCCGTACACCTCATTGTCCCAAATACTTACCAAGTCCCAGGGGATGCAAGCTGGTTTACATTCTTATATCTGAAAGATGCACTTTTCTGGATCTCAATGCATCCAGATTCATAATATGTTTGCCTTTGAATGGAATGATCCAGATACGCATTCAGCCTCAAAACTAACCTGGACAGTCATCTCTGAAGGGTTCTGGGATAGACCCCGCTTATATGAAAATGCTCTAGTTAAGGACTTAACAAATCTACAATTGGAAAGGGACACAATTATTCAGTACGTAGGTGACTTGCTCATTGCTAGCCCAACTAAAGAAGACTCATAATAATACTGTTAAGTTGGTAAATTTCCTGGGAACTTGCAGATATAGGGCATCACCACACAGGGCTCAGATTTTGACTGAAAGACTTAAATATTTGGAATCTGTCTTAACCTCTGGAACTGATCAACATCCCTAGAGATAAGAAAGTTATTTTAGTCACCCAAGGGTCCCTGTACAAAAAATGACTGTGGGCTTTTTTAGGAGATGGCTGGGTACTGCTGCTTATGGGTGCCCAGATTTGGGCATGTAGCCAAGCCTTTATATGATACATTAAAGGGAAAGATTTAGAGCTCCTAGAATGTAATGAGAACTGCAAGCAAACCTTCAATACTCTCAAGGAGAAATTGGGCTCTGCTGCAGAAGTGGGAGTCCCCAAGTTGGATGAACCATTTTTTCTTTATGTGACCAAAAATCAAGGCATAGGCCTTGGGTAATCTTGTCCCAAAACGGGGGGACATTCCAAGGCCAGTAGCCTAATTTTCTAAGCAGATAGACCAGGTGGCCTCAGGGTGGCCTTGATGTCTTAGAGCTATTGCTGCTACCAGTTTTCTAGCAGACAAAGCTAATAAACTAACATTAGAAGAGCACCTACAGGTTTTTGACCCCACACCAAGGGAAGGTGGTCCTAGAAGCTAAAGGGCAGGAGTGGATAATAGGAGAACATTTATGAAAGTATCAGGCCTTATTGCTGGACCCTCCAGACATAATCCTTAAAGCCTGCCAAACCATAAACCCAGCTGCTTATCTGCCAGAGTCCACAGGTACTTCTAGCCTTTCTGGCATACAGGTTGTATTAGTCTGTTCTCATGCTGCTAATAAAGACATATCTGAGGCTGGGTAATTTATAAAGAAAAGAGGTTTAATTGACTCACATTTCCACGTGGTCGGGGAGGCCTCACACTCATTGCAGAAGGCAAATGAGGAACAAAGTCACATCTCTGACATGGCAGCAGGCAAAAGGGCTTGTGTAGGGAAACTCCCCTTTATAAAACCATCAGCTGTAATCCCAGCACTTTGGGAGGCCAAGGCAGTGGATGAGCTGAGGTGAGGAGATCGAGGACACCCTGGCCAACATGGTGAAACCCCATCTATACTAAAAGTACAAAAATTAGACAGGCATGGTGGTAGGCACCTCTAATCCCAGCTACTCAGGATGCTGAGACAGGAGAATCGCTTGAACCCAGGAGTCAGAAGTTGCAGTGAGCCAAGATCACGTAAATGCACTCCAGCCTGAGCAACAGAGCAAGACTATGTCTCAAAAATAAATAAATAAACCATTAGATCTCATGAGGCTTTTTCACTGTCACAAGAACAGCATGAGAAAGACCCATCCCCCGATTCGATTACTTCCCACTGGGTCCCTCCCACGATATATAGGAATTATGGGAGCTAAAATTCAAGATAAGATTTGACTGGGGACAGAGCCGAAGCATGTCATAGGTTATGAAACAAATTGATTCTAGCAGGCTAGACTTAAGAGAGATGAGCCCCTTGACCATCCCAAGGAAGAGTGGTTAACAGATGCAAGTTGTTTTATGCATCAGGAGAACAGGAGGGCTAGGTATGCTATTAGTAGTCAGCACAAGAGAATCAAGGCACAAGCCTTGCTGGCTTCGACCTCAGCCCAAAAAGCTGAGTTAATTGAACTTACTCAGCCCCTGCAGTTGGGAAAGGATTTAAAAGTTAACATTTACACTGATTTCAAGTATGACTTTTTAGTGCTTCATGCTTATGCTGCAATTTGGAATGGGTAGGGACTCCTGACCCCCAAGGGCTTTTCCATACAACATCATTCAGATTTTGAACTTGTTAGAATGCTGTTTTGCTGCCAAAAAGTGACTATAATTAATTGCAGAGGACATCAAAAGAGAGACTGACCATGTAAAAGGAAATGCCCTTGCAGATGCTGCAGCCAAGGCCCCTGCACTGAAAGGGCCAATGAAGCTTATGAGTGTGCTGGTCAGCATACATTGAACTGAGCCAGAACACTCTGAAGAAGAACAAAAATGTGCCAGGGATTGCATTTCAGTCCAGGGTCCCTCTGGCTGGCTGAATGATGGTAATAAATTACTAATACCAAGTACCAATCATAGGAATATAATTCAGCACTTTCATGATTCTTTTCACCCTAGAAGGGATTCTTGGTTTCCGGTAATGTCTCATTTGTTTATAGGGGTAAATCTTTTCAAGACACCAAAACAGGTGACTCAGCCCTGTGATCTCTGTGCCTGACATGACCCAAACGGCTAGCAATTTTCTCCTTCTACAGGTAAACCTGTCCAAAATTGAGGAACCTATCCAGGTGAGAACTGGCAACTCTAATTTACTCAGCTACCTTTCTGCAGGAGATTCAAATATTTGCTAATGCTTACTGATACCTTTATTGGTTAGATGGAGGCATTCCCCACCCCATCTGAAAAATGTTTACCAGAAGAAATAACTCCTCAGTTTGGGTAATCTAAAAGCCTGCAAAGTGGCAATGGCCCGTCTTTCACAGCAGGTGTATCCCAACACCTATCCTCAGCTTTAAGAATCCAATATTACCTTCACTCTGTGTGCAGACCGCAGTCCTCTGGAAAGGTGAAAGGGCTAATCCTACTCTAAAGAAGACTCTAGCTAAATCAGAAGCCTGACTATCTCTAACACCCATAGCTTACTGCGGGTTTGAACTGTTCCAAAGTAAAACTTATAATTAAATCCTGTTGAGTTAACATTCGGAAGACCTTTCCTAAGCACAGATCTCCTAATAGATGAAAAGACTCATCAATTACAAAAATATGTCATCAATCTAGGACAGGTGCAAAGACACTCTGTGAATATGGATACAAGAGTCTTCCACTCCCACATGGGAGGAAAATTCAGTTTCAGCTCAGCTAGGGATTTAGTCTTACTAAAGATGTGGGAGGAAGTTCTCCAGCTGACCAGCTTTCCCCAACGTGGAAAGGACCACAGCAAGGACACCTGAGCTCTCCAACAGACCTTTAACGCCAAGGGATTCACAGGTGGGTACACCTGTGTGGAAGTAAAGCTGTTGCTTATTCTGTGAGCCGAATCCGAGGCTGAGGGAGGTGGGCGCGGGGCTATTTCAGCGGTGGTGGAGTGTGGGCTGGGTAGCTGCGCGTCTGCTCCTCCTTCTCGTGTTTCTCCTGCCACTCTAATCCCGCCTTGGCCATGAGGGAAATCGTGCTCACGCAGGCCGGGCAGTGCGGGAACCAGATCGTCGCCGAGGTTGTATTTAACTCCATAAAAATTAAAATTTTGTATGAGAGAAAAATGTCTCAAAGTCAAAAGTCAACAGACTGGGGAAATAGATCTGCAACATACATGACAGACAAAAAGCTAATTTGGGATATATATATATATACACATATAAATATATATACATATAAATAGATAGATAGATAGATAGATAGATGTAAATATCCGTTTTTAACACCATTTTAGAAAATACCGTCCTTTCCCCATTGAACAGTGTTGACGCCCTTGTTAAAAATCATGACCATATTTTTTGGTTCTTTATTTCTATTGCATTGGTCTTTGTGTCTGTCTCTATGCTGGTACAGCATTGTTTTGCATACTGAAGTTTGAAACCAGGAGGTGTTAGTCCTCTAACTTTGTTAGTTTTTAAGATTGATTTGGCTGCTTGGGGTTTTTTGAGATTTCGTCTGAATTTTAGAACAGGTTTTTCTATTTTTTCAAATATTGGAATTTTTACAGTGATTTTATTGAATCTGTAGATGACTATAGATAACAATGGCACCTTGACAAGATTTTGTCTTCCAGTCCATAAACACATGATGTCTTTTCATTTATTTGTGTCATCTTTAATACTTTCATGCCATGTTTGTAGTTTTTGCTGTACAGGTTTTTCATTTCCTTGGTTAAGTGGGTTTCTAAGTATTTTATTCTTTTGATGCTATCATACATGATACTGTTGTCTTGATTTCTTCTTCAGATAGTTTATTGTTATTGTAGAAATACAACTGATTTTTGTGTATTATTTTGTATCCTGCAGCTTTGCTGAATTTTATTTATTGCATCTGACAGTTTATTTCACAGAAACTAAAAGATTTTTAATATATAAGGTTATGTCATCTGCAAACAGATAGTTTTACTTTTTAAAAAATTGGAATATCTTTAATTCTTTTACTCACCTTATTGTTTTAACTAACTAGAAACTTCAGTACTATACTAAATAGCAGTAGTAAAAGCAGGCATCCTTGTTTTTGCTCTTAGGGTAAAAGCTTTCAGTCTTTCACCATGTTAGCTGGGTTTTTTTTTGTTTTGTTTTTTGTATAGCATTATGTTAATGTGTTTTCTTTCTTTTTATAGTTTATTAAGTATATTTTATCATGAATGTGGGTTAAATTTTGACAAATGCTTTTTCTTCTTTGCTTAAGATGATCACATGAGGGTTTTTTCCTTATGTTAATGTGATATTACGCTGATTTTCATGTGCTGGAACATACTTTCATTTCAGGAGTCAACTACACTCATTCATAGTGTATAATCCTTTTAATGTACTGCTAAGTTTGAGTTGCGGGTATTTTGTTGAGGATTTTTGCATCAGCATGTATAAGGGATGTTTGTTTGTAGTTTTCTTATGGTGCCTTTTTCTGGCTTGGTGTCAGGGTAATACTGACCTCATAGAATAAGTTAGAAAAAACTACCTCCTTTTCAACGTTTTGAAAAAGTTTGAGAAGAAGCGGTGTTAATTCTGCTTTAAACATTGGGTAGAATTCAACAGTGAAAACATCTGGTCCAGGCTTTTCTTTGTTGCTGGGTTTTTGATTACTGATGCTATCTTCCTGCTGAATCTCCTTGCTGAATAGGTTTATTCAACTTTTCTGATTCAGTCTTAGTAGGTTTTTTGTTTCTAGGAATTTGTTCATTTTATTTAAGCTATTCAATTTTTTAGTGTATAGTCCCTTATGGTACTCTCCTACACCCCTTTTTTACTCCAAAAATTTGTTAGTAATGTACCCATTTTATTTTTGAGTTTAGTAATTTGAATATTCCCTTTCTTTCTTAGTCAATCTAGATAAAATTTTGTCAGTTTTGATGTTTTTCAGAGAACAAACTAGGTTGTGTTGATTTTTGATATTGTTTTTCTATTCTCTATTTCACTTATTTCCACTGCTATCTTTATCATTTTTTTAATTTTGCTAGCTTTTAGTGGTCCCTCTTTAATAGTCCCTCTTTTTCTCTCTGTTTTTAGTTCCTTAGGAGTAAAGTTGTTGATTTGGTATCTTATTTTCTATAATCATTTATAGCTATAAATTTTTCCCTTATAGTACCATTTTTAATGTATCTCTTAACTTTTGTTATTTCATGTTTTTAATTTGTCTCTAGATATTTTTTCTTTTCTCTTGTGATTTCTTCCTTTATCCATCCTTGAGTGTTTCATACCTATATTTTTAGACATAAAATGTGTAACCTACAGTATTTTCTTGATTTGTTAGTTTTATTTGTTGTAAGTTTTTATTTCAGAATTAAATGTGTGTATCAACATTTGTTATGTTCTCATAAACTTTGTAATACATGGAGATTACTGGTCCATATATGTAAGTCTCTACATGAATATTATTTTGAAGCATTTAACCTTCTATTTTAATATTTCAAAGGTCTAAATGAAATTGAGATTTTGGTTTCTGAGATGAAATCATGGAAGGTGACTGAGAAATGCTTAAAAATTAGCCAAAACTTAAAATTAAGTTAAAGTTTACCTTCAAGATTCAACCTGAATAAGTCGCCCTGTATTGCTGGTAATAAAGAATAAGTCTTTAATGATATAAAAGGAAACTTCAGAGAATGTTTTTTTTCCCCAGTTGACATATAAATTAAAAGATATAAAAAATTTTTATGGCCTTATGCATTTTTTACTTTAGAATTCCAACTTTTTCTGGTTAACATTTTTCCAAACAGATTCCTGTGTATTTGAAAGACAAATAATTTTTTAATTGAACTGCTTAAGCAGTTAAATAAGGCCATGAAAGTTTCTTGAACTTGTGGGAATCCATGAGAAAATCTGACATTATGTTCTATTCTCTTGGAAGGTAGAAATATCGTTTGACTTCTGTTTTGCAGACAAGAAATGTCCTGAGCAAGGCTACCTGGGACAATGACCTCACACATGGAAAACGTTGGAGCCCATCTGTTTCCAATCTGCTGTTTTCCAAAAATTAGTGAAGTTCAGTTTTCCCTTTGATACTCTCTGTTACTACCAATCCCAATGCCAGGGCTGTCCTGCTTCTACAAGTGACAATGACAAATATAGGCCTGAAGAAAGATGAGATGATGGGATTCCCAGCTTATTACCTCTCCTTGGTGGCCTTATCTCACATACATGGATTCAACTCATAGACTCAGCTGGGTGAGGATCTATTATTCAGCTACATTAGAAGTGACTGCTTAAGACTCAGGTGTGTGGTGAAATGAGGCAGAATTTTCTCTATGGAGTGTTGGCAGAATTTTCTCCTCATAATTACCATCTTACTATCACTAAATCATAACTAAAATGAGGAAATTATTCAAGAAGAAATAGAAATGTAATCATATGAGGACATAAATTTAGAGATTTGTGGAGAGCTCTTCATAATTTTATGGCGTTCTCTTTGAGCTGGGATTATAGTTGACATTTCATTATAATATATTAGCTGTTCTAGACTTTATGCATTTATGTAAAGTTTTCTTTGTTGTACTTTAAGTTCTGTGATACATGGGCAGAGCATGCAGGTTTGTTACATAGTTATACACGTGCCATGGTGGTTTGCTGCACCCATCAACCCGTCATCTACATAGGTATTTCTCCTAACGCTATTCCTCCCCTAGCCTCCCGCCCCATGACAGGCCCCAGTGTGTGATGTTCCCCTCCCTGTGTCCATGTGTCCTCATTGTTCAGCTCCCACTTATGAGTGAGAACATGCAGTGTTTGGTTTTCTTTTCTCTTTTTCTTTCTCTCTCTTTTTTTTTTTTTTTTTTTTGAGACAAATTTTCACTCTCATTGCCCAGGTTGGAGTGCAATGGCGTGATCTCGGCTCACCACAACCTCTGCCTCCTGGGTTCAAGCGATTCTCCTGCCTCAGCCTCCCAAGTAGCTAGGATTACAGGTATGTGCCAATATGCCTGACTAATTGTTTGTATTTTTAGTAGAGACGGGGTTTCTCCATGTTGGTCAGGCTGATCTCAAACTCCCCACCTCAGCCTCCCAAAGTTCTGAGACTACAGGCATGAGTCACTGCTCCTGGCCTGGTTTTCTTTTCTTGTGTTAGTTTCCTGAGAATGATGGTTTCCAGCTTCATCCCTGTCCCTGGAAAGGACATAAATGCATAGTATTCCATGGTGTATATGTGCCACATTTTCTTTATCCAGTTTATCATTAATGGGCATTTGGGTTGGTTCCAAGTCTTTGCTATTGTGAACAGTG
Organism: Homo sapiens; assembly: GCF_000001405.40. Lineage (NCBI taxonomy): Eukaryota > Metazoa > Chordata > Mammalia > Primates > Hominidae > Homo > Homo sapiens. The sequence goes on along the minus strand of NC_000022.11, from coordinate 11,314,529 downwards.
GTGAAATAAACATACAGTGCTGAAATAAACATACAGTTCATGTGTCTTTATAGTATAATAATTTATAATGCTTTGGGTATATACCCTATAATGGGATTACTGGGTCAAATGGTATTTCTGGTTCTATATCTTTGAGGAATTTTCACACTGTCTTCCACAATGACTGAACTAATTTACACTCCTACCAACAGTGTAAAAGCATTCCTGTTTCTCCACAGCCTCATCAGCATCTGCTGTTTCCTGACTTCTTAATAATCGCCATTCTAACTGGAGTGAGATGGTATCTCATTGTTGTTTTGATTTGCATTCATCTAATGACCAGTGGTGATGAGCTTTTTTTCATATGTTTGTTGGCCGCATAAATATCTTCTTTTGAGAAGTGTCTGCTTGTTTCCTTTGCCCACTTTTTGATGGGGCTGTTTTTCTCTTGTAAATTTGTTTAAGTTCTTTGTAGATTTTGGATATTAGCCCTTTGTCAGACAGATAGATTGCAAAAATTTTCTCCCATTTTGTAGGTTGTCTGTTCACTCTGATGATAGTTTATTTTGCTGTGCAAAAGCCCTTTACTTTAATTAGATCCCATTTGTCAATTTGGGCTTTTGTTGCCATGGCTTTTGGTGTTTTAGTCACAAAGTCTTTGCTCATGCCTATGTCCTGAATGGTATTGCCTAGGTTTTCTTCTAGGGTTTTTATGGTTTTAGGCCTAACATTTAAGTCTTTAATCCATCTTGAATTGATTTTTATTACCTCTCCTTGGGGGCCTTATCTCACATACATGCACCTGGAGGTATCACAAGTAAAGGCTGCGAAACAGCAAAGATGGCAACCTGATCCTTCCTCTGGGAGCACCAGTCCAAGGGGGTACTGACTTGATGCCAGCTGGAACGCTCCTGTAGGAGGTTTCTGGTGACCCCTGTTGGGAGGTCTCACCCAGTCAGGAGGAACAGGATCAGGGACTGCTTAAAGAAGCAGTCTGGCTGCCCTTTGGCAGAGCAGGTGTGTTGTTCTGATCCCCAGGAGTCTGCAGAGCCAGCAGGCTGGAAAGGTTCAGTTGGCTGAACTGGGGAGACAGTAGCTACCCCTCTCCCTGGGGACTTCATCCCAGGGAGAAATCAGAGTTCTGTCCATAGAACTTCGGCTGGAGTTGCTAAAATTCTGATGGGGAGGCCCTGTCCAGTGAGGAGGGATGGATTTCAGTCTCACTTAAAGAAGCAGCCTGGCCACAATCAGTCACAACAGCTGTACTGTGTTATAGGGGACTCCTCCTGGTCCCTGGTGCCAGCAGGCTAGAGCAGCCAACTCAAACCACAGATAGAGCCGCTGCCCCTCCCCCTGGGAACTCAGTCCACCTCCGGCTATCTCCAGCCTGCTGCCACTGGCCTGCTGGAATTCCAAGCCAATGGGTCTTATGAGGTGCTGTGGGAGTGGGGCCTCAGAATGATGTCACTTGGCTCCCTGGATTCAGCCCTCTTCATAGGGGAATGCACAGATGTATCTCCCACTTTGCTGGAATTCTCTGGGCAGAGTATGCAAAATTCCTGGGTTTCCATGCATGCCCCAGTAAGCCAGCGAGCACTCTGCTGAGACTCTACACAGCTCTGTGCTTCAGACCCAAGGCCGTGGTGGCTGAGCTCTTGAGGGGACCTCTTCATCTGCAGGTTGCAAAGATCCATCGGAGAATCATGGTTTCCTGGGCAGAGTCGAACAATCACTCATGGCCTCCCTTGCCTGCGAGTGGGGGCTCGGCTAGCCACACCTGGATGGGTCATTGACCCACTTGCTTTTCCTGACTCTCTGTGGGTCGAGCTGTCTGCCCAGTCAGTTCCAATGCAAGAACCTGAATACCTCAATTGAAAGTGCAGAATTCACTCACAGTTTTCATTGCTCTCTGTGAGAGCCATGGGACACAGCTGCTTCTAGTCGGCCAGTTTGACCCCATCTAGAGTATGATTTCTTAATACATGAGATGTTTTAATTATGTAACAATAATGATATTTATCACAAATATATTTTGTCTCAATGTGATATACAAATTGCTAATAAATCAATTCTTTTTTGGTTACCACAAAGCTATCTGGAAATGTAAAGTCTGCCATTTATAAAATTTTTGTAGAGTTAATAGAACTTTACTTGAAGAGAGGCTGGCAATAGGCATCATGACTTCAAGCACTGCCAGTGAAGTTGTGGAGTTTGAAGTGGTACTCACATCTTGTTACTGGGATTATAAATTAGTAAAAACTATATCAATTGTAATTAAACAATATATACCAAAATTATAAATGGAAATATTCTCTGATTCAGCAATTTCATTTCCAGAAATTTACCCTACAGACATACTCATGATGCCTGGAATTATGTATGAATGGGAGAAAGTATTATATCACCTTTTTAATTAACAAAAGTCTAGAAATCACCTTAATGTTTATCAATCACATTAATGATTAACACCTTACTGTTTATTGAAATTATGGTTATTCATATGATAGACTACTATGCAGCTATTTAAAGAAATAAATTTTAAAAGGATGCTCAAAAATGATGTCTAAGATATGTTACAAAGGAAAAAACCTGGGTGGAGAGCCGTGTCTGATATGCCTCCATTCCTATGAAATCAGAGTGTATATAAATGCATAGAGTATCTCCATTAACTGGTAACTGTTACAAAATTCAAAGTTAATGCAGGCAAGCCCTTTCTTTTTTAATGCTAAAACTCCACGGACCTGCACAATATTTGAGGATTTCCAACACAGGCCAATCTACCTTTGAACTTACAGATTTTAGGAAATGAAGCTCTTGAAAAATCAAGCATTAATATTCCTAGCTACAGTTGTTTGGAACATAATTAGAATGATCCATTCTTTGCAAGTTTGTAAAATTTGCTCATACAACCATCTGGGCCTAGTCCCTCCTTTGTGAAAGATTTTATTTTACTAGAGATTTTATGTTCTTCATGTTATAGTACTTCTTAGTTTTCTATTTCTTCTTGATTCTTGAGTCAATTTTGGTACCACTTAGTACCCCACAGGGTGCTTGGGCTCAGAACACATCAGTCAAAGGAAGAGAGAAGAAAGGAAGTTAGGAAGGAGGGAGGAAGAAAGGAAGGATGGAAGGGGACAAAGAAGGAAAGAGAGATGGAAGGAAAGAATGAGAGAAAGAAAGATGGAGGGAGAGAAAGATGGAGGGAGAGAAAGTTGGAGAGAGAGAAAGAAAGAAGGAAATGAGAGAAAGAAGGAAGGAAGGAGGGAGAGAAAGAGGGAAAGAGAAAGAAGGAAAGAAACAAGGAAGCAGGGAGGGAGAGAAAGAAGAAGGTAGAGGAAGGAAGGAAGAAAGGAAGGAAAGAGGGAGGGAAGGAAGGGAGAGAGAGGGAGGCAGGGAAAGAAAGAAAGAGAGAAAGGTGAAAGGTGGGGATGGGAAGAGAAGAGGAGCCAGCCACAGGCTACAGGCTGTTTGTTCACTCTTTTAGTTGACCCAGGCAGTTCTGCCTTTTAAATATTCCACCTTCTGCCATGAGTTACACTGTTCAATATTCATTCCTCAGAGCATTCAAAGGTCTATGTGTGCCCTGCCATGATGGAGCATGGCTTCAGTTCCCAAACACAACTCTCAGCCAAAATATTCATGACTGGTCCCTCCCATATACTTATCAATCCCCCATGTATGGTCTTCATGTGTCCCCCCGAGCTCAAGTGTTGGAAACTTAATCCTCTATGTGACAGTGTTGAGAGGTGGGGCCTAATAAGAGTGATTGGGTTATGAGACTCTGCCCCCATGCGTGGATTAATGTCACTATCTCAGGAATAGGTTAGTTATCTGGGGAGTGGGTTAGTTATCTTGGGAGCGCACTTGTATTAAAAGCAAGTTCAGCCCCTTTTGCTCTCTTTCTTTCTGAAAGTCTTGCTCTGCTGCCTTCAGCCATGAGATGACACAGCAAGAAGGCCCTCACCAGATGCAGAGCCCCTCATCCTTGGACTTCCTAGCCTCCAGAACTCTAAGAAATAAATTTCTTTTCTTTATAGATTCCCTAGTCTATGGTATTCTGTTATAGCAGCACAAAATGGGTTAAGATGCCCCATTACATGGAGAGTGCTGATCCACAGGGTTGAGGTCACTGACTTAGGGCTTGGAGTCTTATACAACATACCTACGGGAGTTGGCCTCCATATTCCCTAACTTCCAGGATCTCAAATGGTGATCTCAGACCAAAATATAACCCAGATATTTTGCATTTGGCAATATTGCCCACTTTTATACAACTTTATCATGGCAGCTTTGATGTGTTCACTTCTACGATCCCTGAAAGGATATGAGTTCAAGATCCTGCAAGGTTATGATCCAAGGATAGAAGAGCCTAGACAAGAGTTCCATCACCTGGGTGATCAGTGCAGAGCTATGTCACAAAGTCTCCGTAGGCAAAGCCTAGACAAGAGTTACATCACCTGGGTAATCAGTGCAGAGATATGTTACAAAGCCCCCGTAGGCAGAGCCGAGACAAGAGTTACATCACCTGGGTGACAGGTAAACAACAATGACAACTTATTTTCATCCCCACTTCAGTCTTTGAGGTTAGACAGACCTGGATCCAAATCCAAGCTCCACCCCTCACTGTGTGAGCTTGCTCAAGCTGCTAACATCTCTGAGACTTGACTCTTCATTCATGAAATGAGGATAAAGGCCCTTCTCTCAGGGGCTGTGCCAAGGATGAAATGAGTCATGCATTGGTCAGGACAGGTGACGCTGTGTAACAAACAAGCCCCCAAACCTCAGTGGCTTCAACAGCAAAGTTGACTTCTTTTCTTTTTTTTTTTTTTTTTGCTGGGGGTGGGGTGCGGTGGATGGAGTCTCACTCTGTCACCCAGGCTGGAGTGCAGTGGTGCAGTCTCAGACCACTGTAACCTCCACCTCCTGAGTTCAAGAGATTCTCCTGCCTCAGCCTCCTGAGTAGCTGGGACTACAGGCGCCTGCCACAATGCCTGGCTAATTTTTTATATTTTTAGTAGAGATGGGGTTTCACCGTTTTAGTCAGGATGGTCTCGATTACCTGAACTCATGATCTGCCCGTCTCAGCCTCCCAAAGTGCTGGGATTACAGGCGTGAGCCACCGCACCCGGCCTTTACTTCTGAATTGATTTCGCATCCATCACGGGCCAACAAGGGGGCTCTGGTGGTCGTAGTCATTCAGAGACTCAAACAGATAGACCCTTATCCCAGAAGATGCTCCCACAGTTCCAGAAACAGAGCAAAGAAAACATAATCAGCCATGAGCCACTTCTTAAATCCCCTGCACAGAAGGGATGCACGTTTCTTCTGTCACAGCTGTTGCCCAAAATGTCTCAGGCAGCCGGGCACAGTGGCTCACATCTGTAATCTCAGCATTTTGGGAGGCAGAGGCGGGCAGATCACCTGAGGGCGGGAGTTCAAGACCAGTCTGAACAACATGGAGAAACCCTATCTCTACTTATAATACGAAAATTTGCCAGTCATGGTGGAGGGTGCCTGTTAGCCCCAGCTACTCTGGAAGCTGAGGCAGGAGAATCACTTGAATCTGGGAGGTGGAGATTGCAATGAGTCGAGACCAGCCACTGCACCCCAGTCTGAGTAACAGAGTGAGACTTCATCTCAAAAAAAAAAAAAAAAAAAGTCTCAGGCTATGACTGAACTAGGAGGGTAGAAAGAATAGTCATTTTGGTTGCCACAATCAATCGAAACAAAGATGCAGATCATTGATGTAAAATTACAGTTAGTTCCTCCCCACTCCTTTTCAGCTTCTCTTAGTTGCTATGAGCCAACGTTTCCAGTGTCAGTTTTCAGTCTGTTGCCTCCCAGCTCCTAGTGCACCTTTCAATACGTGCACTGTGATAAACGGGGAAACACTGTTCAATATGCCTTCTGGGAGTGAACATTCTGCAGGCATCTATGTAGAGGACGGAGAGACTGCAAGGGGCAGGAGCTCTCTGGCTGGGCCTTGATCATGTTCAAGCCCCAACCACAGACCTAGGCTTGGTCCCTCAGCCACCTTGTAGCCTTGGCTTGCAACATCTCGACATGGAAACCAAAATGCAGCAGAGCACATGTGATCTGAAAGTTCCTGAAAATTTTCCCAGACCCCATCTTGTACCCCTTGGGCAACCTGCACACAGTGATCTGTATTCTAGAGGGTCCGCACAGAGCTGCCATTCCTTCTGCCAGACCCTGCGGGACTCAGGCATTCTGGAGGCTTCCTGCCCTACAAAGGCAGCCAGGCTCCCGCCATGCATCCCTGCACCAGCGGCTCACGGCTAGCTCCCTCATCTGCATTCCAGTGGCTCATGGCCAGCTCCCTCACCTGCACCAGCGGCTCTCGGCCGGCTCCCTCCCCTGCACACCAGCGGCTCACGGCCGGCTCCCCTCCTTGCACACCAGCGGCTCACGGCCTGCTCCTTCCCCTGCATTCCAGCGGTTCACGGCCAGCTCCCTCACCTGCACTCCAGTGGGTGGCCTAGTGCTTGTGCAGAAGCTGCTGACTAGCTCCAGCCTGCCCAAATCCACGAGCATCTCTTATGTGGTGGCTGAACCACATTTTATGACATCTGAACACCTTTCAAATCTGTGCTTCCTTGGGTACCTCCCTCTGCACTAGGGCACCAGGCAGGGTTGCTTTATGTCTTACAGTGACTCTTTTATCACAGTTGCAATCCTTTATACTACACTTCCCCGTTAGACCCACTATGTGGTTTCTATCTCTTGATGGGACCCAGGCTGCTACAAAACCTAACCCATGAACATTGCACTTCATTAGTTCCTCACCATTGGCCCAAGATCATGCTCCACCACCCCTCTCTGCACCCTGACTTTCTTTCCTTAAGTGAAACCCCTAAACGCCCTCTTTGTGCCCAAAGCTTACCTGCTCTTCCTTCCCTATATTCTTGGCCAGACACAAAAATCTGATGCTCTGGCAAATGCAGAAATGGGGAGAAGGCAGGGGAATCATTTCTCCTCCCTTAGGTAAGCACTGACGGTTATGTCATTCCATTGTGTGAGGAATAAAAAAATGAGGCATAGAGAGCTGCCATGATTTGCCTGGACCAATGAAGCTGTCATGACAGAAGTGGAACAAAGGTTTAGGAGTCCCAAATGTCAGTCCAGCTCCTATGCCTTCAGAACGTGCTGTGGAAGGAGACGCCGGGGGACTCCACTCATGCTGAGCACTCAGGGGTACCCAAGTGCTGAGACTGGGGACGTGACAGGCTGAGTTGACTGAGCCAAGTCCTCCTACACCAAATAAGGATGGAAACCCTCACATAATAGAAGTGAAGAGAGGGAACGAAGCCAGGAACTATTAAGAGGCTGATGCCTGGAAGGCCTGGGCAGAATGACAGTGAGATTGGCACAGAACAGAGGCCCTAGATGGGGACAAGGGGAAGGAAGTGGCCTTGGTGGCCAGATGGCACCGGTCCACTGCACAGAGGCTGGAGCCTTGAGTTCCATCTAGTCCTTGTCAACCACAATCATTCTGCCCTATGGCTCAACAAGTACTGGAGAAAATGTATTTTCTGCAGGCTGGGGAGGTGAGAATAAAACAATTCAGCCTTAAGAAGTTGAAAGCCCAGGAAATCATAGCACGTGGAGATGGGATTCATACTTAAACTTCCTGCCCTTGACTTCTGGTTTGGCCATGTGACTTACTTTGGCCAATGGATGTGGTAAAGTGGTAGTCTGCACATTCTGAGCCTGGGTGGTAAGATAAGAGACCTTCACATTTCCCTTTGTTCTTTGCACTCCTGCCATTGCCATGAGAAGAAGGCACCCTGGCAGGCCCCAACCCGAGGAGGATCAGAGACACTTGGAGCAGATCCAGCTCAGCCACCACAGTTCGAGCTGAAACCTCCCAAGCAACCCATGCTCATGAGTGAGAAATGGTGGCCTATGGTCTTAGGCCTCTGAGGTGTGGGGTTACTTGTTACAGAGCAAGAGTTAACTAATAGAGATTTCTACCTCACATCCCTATGAATTAAAGAACAAAGGAAATAAAACAAAATATGAAAAGCAGATTTCCAATTTTTAGAAGAAAACAGAGGACAGATTTTATGACACTAAACAGAGAAAAACGTTTTTTTAATATGACACAAAACACAGACATCATAAAAGAAATTACTGATAAATTCAATCGTATTAAGTGTAGTAGCTTTGATCTGACAAAAGAGGCCATGAATAAAGTTAAAAGACAAAGACAGTGCATGATATGGTTTGGCTGCATGTCCCCACCCAAATCTCATCTTGAATTGTCCTCCCATAATTCTCCTGTGTTGTGGGAGGGATCTGGTGGGAGATAATTGGAATCATGGGAGTGGTTCCCTCATACTATTCTCCTGGTAGTGAATAAATCTCACGAGATCTGACGGTTTTATCAGGGGGTTCCACTTTTGCATCATCCTCTTTTTTCTCTGGCCACTGCCATGTAAGAAGTGCCTTTCACCTCCCACCATGATTCTGAGGCCTCTTCAGTCATGTGGAACTGAAAGTCCAATTAAACCTCTTTTTCTTCCCAGTCTGGGGTATGTCTTTATTGGCAATGTGAAAATGGACTAATACAGTGCACCAATAGGGAAAACATATTTGTAAGATATTTGGCCAAAAAAGCATTGATATCCAGATCATTAAAATCAAAATTGGCCAGACGTGGTGGCTCATGCCTGTAATCCCAGCACTTTGGGAAGCTGAGGTGGGTGGATCACCTGAGGTCGGGAGTTCGAGACCAGTCTGACCAACATGGAGAAACCCCATCTCTACTAAAAATACAAAATTAGCCAGGCGTGGTGGCGCTTACCTGTAATCCCAGCTACTCAGGAGGCTGAGGCAGGAGAATCGCTTGAACCTGGGAGGTAGAAGTTGCGGTGAGCTGTGATCATGCCATTGCACTCCCACCTAGGCAACAAGTGCAAAACTCCGTCTAAAAAAAAATAGCATTTACAAGTCAGCAAGGAGTAACCAAAGACCCAACAGACATATGGGCCAGGAGCAATTCACAGAGGAGGAGACCCGAAGGGCTGGGAAACACAAGGCATGCATTCAGCTGCACAGCAAAATACAGGAACAATATCAGAAAGTGCGATAACAAATATTGATGAAGATGAGTGAAGACGGATGTGCGCACTGCTGGCGAGGGGCATTGTGAGGTCTCCAGCCCCAAGGTCATCTGGCTGTGCTTCCTAGGAAGAAAGGGCTGACAACAGACCTGTCCCAGGACTCCAAGCCTCACCAGGCTACGTGCAGGTCTTGGACCAGAACATCAGCATCACTTTGGGGTGGGGATTGCAGGGGGTTGGCGCATCCTCTGCTCACCAGAAATGCAGAATTCTAGATTCATCTGGAAGATATTGTTGAAGGGAAAAGCAACTTTCAGGAGAGTATGTATGGACTGCTATTTGTATAAAATTGCAAAAACAGACCAAAGAACACTATCCATTCTTCATGGACATGCACACTAGGTATTAAACATGGATGGGAAGACACACATTGACTTCAGAATAGTGGGGAGGGAGGCGGTAACTGGACTAGAAAAGGGACATATAACTCGAGGGTCAGCATGAACATTATGGTTGAATCCGTAGTTTTCTTCCCTTAAACTCTGGAGCAAATGCATCCAAAAGCTACCACGTTTGAATTTTAACTGGGAGGTACATGAAAGTTTGATATCATTATCCTCTACATAGTCCTGTGTGTTTGTAATATTGAGGCATATTTTTTAAATACTTGACACAGCATGAAAGGAAGCTTGCCTACATGGTAACAATGGTTATCTTTAGGTAGCAGAATTCAAGACTGCTTCTTTTTCTTTTTTTCCTACTTGTATATTATCTCTATTTCCCTGTGTGAGGATTTATGACTGTTGTGATGAGAAGGCTAGTATTCTAACTCCCTGCATCATAAGCACACACCGTGTCCTGGCTGGAACGATGGGGAGGAGGGAGCGTGTCTGTTCACCTGGCCAGCCCTAGGCAACTCTGCAGAGAAAGATACAGGCACTTCCCCTCTGCAGCCAAAGAGTTAAGAAGGCTTGAAGTGAAATAAATCATTCCAGGGGAGCTAAATCTCAGCCTTATCTAATTGTGGATCCTGAGGCTGATTAATTTAAACTCAAAAATAAAATAAACATCATCCTTAAATAGGGATTAAATACTCAGCGGGGTCCTTAGTTGAACAAACTGACATACATTTTATGGTATGGATTCAAGGGGCCTGGGGTGGGGCGAGGGGTATCTGTGGGGATGCTCGCTGAGCTAAGGAGAGAAAATCGCCAGAGCTCCTGGATTCCAGAGTACATTCACCTTTAGCTTCTTCTCTGGATACCCACAGAAAACCAAAAATCCACCCTGTGGCAGGATCTTCACACAGGAGGTGGGCTTGTGCTCTGTGTCCCTGAGGGAGAAGGGATTAGTGGAGAGAGTGGGTGAAGGGTTTGGAGGAAGCCCCTGATGTTCTTAGAAAACAGTAGGAAAGAGATTGCCTTGCCTGGGCATTGTTCCCAAATAGGAGACAAGAGCATGAACTAAAAACAGAGACTCTCAGCTCCCTCCATGGTTCCTGAGTTCAGAAGGGAACCCAGGGAAGTGGGGCAAGTAAAAAATTGAGTGGGCTATCTGACATGTGCCTGGAGGGACCCACGAACCTGAATCAGGCATGAGAGTGGGCAGCTGGTGGATTCTTCCAGGCCTGCAGCACAAAGCCAGGCGGATGTCCCAAGAACAAGCCATGTCTGCAGAGGCCTCTACTGCATCCCTGACTCATGGGCACAATGTCACAGAACAGAATTACATCATTTGGGAGACCATGTGCAGTGTGAGTGTCATAATGGAGCTGGACCCAGAAGGTCCCAGACCCAGGTGCAGCTATGTCTCTGCTATAGTCAATGTTTGTGTGCCCCTAAAATCCGTGTGTTGAAACCTAACCCCTGATAAGTTAGGTTTGAATTAGGAGGCAAAGACTTTAGGAAGTGATTTCATCATGAAAGCAAAGACCCCATGAATGGGATAAGTGGCCTTGTAAAAGGGAGCCAAGGGAGCTTGTTCTCCTTCCACCATGTGAGGACACAGCTAGGAGGTGCCCTCTATAAGGAACAGGCCCTCAACAGACACCCAATCTGCCACTACCTCGACCTTCCACTTGACAGCATCCAGACCTATGAGACATAAATTTCTGCTGCTTATAAGCCTCCTAGGCTAAGGTATTTTGTTACGGCAGCCCAAATGGAATGAGACAGCCTCTGACCATCTTGAGCAACTCACTTATCTGCTGAACTCTCCACAGATTTAACTGTGATGAAATCCCTTCAACAGATGTATATTGAACATCTACTGTGTATAAGGACACACTGTGTTATTGGATAGGGTAGAAAGCAAGTCACAGTTCCCCAGGGGTAGGCACTGCCATAGCTGAACAGCAAACCCAAGTTGCTGTTGCCAATGGGGGAAGGGGTGGGTGTCAGAGAAGAACAGAACATGCTAGAGTCCATGTCTGCAGCAATATTGGAACGTCTAATGGATGGTTCCCAAAGTGGTGACTTCTCATCTTCTTACAAAAACTCATAGTTGTCCCTGTGTAAAGTCTTCCCAGCAGTGCAGGGCAGCAGAGAATATGCAGATCAGAAAAGACAAGAGGACAGAGAAAGCATTCTTGGCATCAGCAGCCACGGACTTCTTGAAGGAAGGAAAGCATTTCTCCTGGATCCCTGGGTAGCAGATAGACGTACAGAAATACATTTGTTTGCTATTTGATTCATGGACTTTGAACATTTGTAGACCGGGAGGCTGAGAATCTTCTCCAGCCAGATGGTGTGGGGCGTGGAAGTACGGACAAGGATTAAAGTAGGAGGAAAACAAAGCAATGAGAAGTGAGCTCTCAGCATGACCAACACAGAGACCTGGGTCTCCGCTACCAACGATAAGAGCTAATATATAATGATTGCAGGTCTGCAAACAGCAGGCTTTCCATATCACATGTGGCAAGCTCTGATGACAACCCTGTGTGACAGGTATTGTTGTCGGAGGCAGAGGGTTGCTACATAATCACAAGCAACTGGTGGAATGCCAGAGAGTTTGGTTTTAATTGGTCTACTTCCTGTTTGCTTTCTATTTGTCCCATCTGTAGTTCGTTCTCCTTTTCCTCTTTCTCTGACTTCTTTTGAATTTGTTGAGTATTTTTATTTCATTTAATCTTCTTTGTTGGCCTTTTACATATAACTATTTTTGCTTGGTTTGGTTTTGAGTTTTAATCATTGCTCTATGGTTTATGGTATATCATATGGTTTGGATCTGTGTCCCTACCCAAATCTCACGTGGAAACATAATCCCCAATGCCAAACGTGGGACCTGGAGGGAGGTGATTGGATCATGGAGCCAGTTTCTCATGGTTTAACACCATCCCCGCTTGGTACTATATAGCGAGTGAGTTCTCACAAGATCTGGTTGTTTAATAGTTTGTGGCACCTCCCCCTCACTCTCTTCCTCCTGCTCCAGTCACATAAGATATGCTTGCTTCCCCTTTGCCTTCCGTCATGATTGTAAGCTCCCTGAGGCCTCCCCAGAAGCCAAGCAGATGACAGAATCACGCTTCCTGTACAGCCTGCAGAACTGTGAGCCAATTAAATCTCTTTTCTTCATAAATTACCCAGTCTCATTTTCTTTTTTTGAGACGTAGTCTCACTCTGTCGCCCAGGCTGCAGTGCAGTGGTGCGATCTCGGCTCACTGCAACCCCGCCTCCCTGGTTCAAGTGATTCTGAACCTCCCAAGTAGCCTCAGCCTCCCAAGTAGCTTAGCTGGGACTACAGGCATATGCCACCAAACCCACATATTTTTTTTTTTGTATTTTTAGTAGAGACATGGTTTCATCATGTTGGCCAGGACAGTCTCAATCTCTTGAACTCGTAATCCACCCACCCCAGCCTCCCAAAGTGCTGGGATTACAGGCGTGAGCCACCATGCCCAGCCCCAGTCTCAGACATTTCTTTTTCTTTGAATTTATTTATTATTATTTTTTAAATTATTACTATTATACCTTAAGTTTTAGGGTACATGTGCACAACGTGTAGGTTTGTTACATATGTATACATGTGTCATGTTGGTGTGCTGCACCCATTAACTCATCATTTAGCATTAGGTATATCTCCCAATGCTATCCCTCCCCCCTCCCCCCACCCCACCACAGTCCCCAGAGTGTGATATTCCCCTTCCTGTGTCCATGTGATCTCATTGTTCAATTCCCACCTATGAGTGAGAATATGCGGTGTTTGGTTTTTTGTTCTTGCGATAGTTTACGGAGAATGATGATTTCCAATTTCATCCATGTCCCTACAAAGGACATGAACTCATCATTTTTTATGGCTGCATAGTATTCCATGGTGTATATGTGCCACATTTTCTTAATCCAGTCTATCATTGTTGGACATTTGGGTTGGTTCCAAGTCTTTGCTACTGTGAATAGTGCCGCAATAAACTTATGTGTACATGTGTCTTTATAGCAGCATGATTTATAATCCTTTGGGTATATACCCAGTAATGGGATGGCTAGGTAAAATGATATTTCTAGTTCCAGATACCTGAGGGATCACCACACCGAATTCCACAATGGTTGAACTAGTTTACAGTCCCACCAACAGTGTAAAAGTGGTCCTATTTCTCCACATCCTCTCCAGCACCTGTTGTTTCCTGACTTTTTAATGATCGCCATTCTAACTGGTGTGAGATGGTGTCTCATTGTGGTTTTGATTTGGATTTCTCTGATGGCCAGTGATTATATTGTGGTTTTGATTTGCATTTCTCTGATGGCCAGTGATGATGAGCATTTTTTCATTTGTTTTTTGGTTGCATAAATGTCTTCTTTTGAGAAGTGTCAGACATTTCTTTATAGCAGTGCAAGAACAGAATAATACAGTATATATATTTAACTTAGCATTGGCTGCCATCAACATTATACCACTTCACAGAAACAGGATCTGAGGCTCAAGTGATCATCCTGCCGTGGCCTTCCAAAGTGCTGGGATAACAGGCATGTGCCACCACGCCTGGACTTGTGTTGTTTCTAACAAGATGTTTGCCGTCTTTTTTTTTTTTTTTTGAGACAGAGTCTCACTCTGTTGCCCAGGCTGGAGTGCAATGGTGCCATCTCAGCTCACTGCAACCTCCACCTCCCAGGTTCAAGCGATTCTCCCTGCCTCAGCCTCCTGAGTAGCTGGGTTTACAGATGTGTGCCACCATGCCCTGCTAAATTTTGTATTTTTAGTAGAGACGGGGTTTTGCCATGTTGCCCAGGCTGGTCTTGAACTCCTGGGCTCAAGTGATCATCCTGCCTCAGCCTCCCAAAGTGCTGGGATTACAGGTGTGAGCCACCACGCTCAGCCTATTTTCATCTCTGTTTCTCTCTGTATAATGTTCTTTTCCCTTTGGTAACCTTTCAGATTTTCTCTTTGTCACTGGTTTGGGACAATTTGATTATGATGTGCTTCAGTGTGTCATCCTCATGTCTCTTGTGCTAGAGGTTCATTGGTTCTTAGATCTCTGGATTTACAGTTTTTCTCAAATTTAAATTTTTTCAGCCACAATTTTTTCAAATATTTTTTTCTTCTACTCCTCCCAACCTTCTTCAGGAACTCCAATTGCAAATATATTAGTCCTGTTGGTGCTGATTTTCTGTTCAATTTTTTCCATTATTTTCTCCACGTTCTATTTTTGATAGTTTCTACTGCTACATCTTCCAGTTGACTAATCCTTTTTTGTATAATTGCTATTTTATTTTAAATGTAATTTAGTATATTTTTCATCTCAGACATTCTATTTTTCATCTCTAGAAGTTCAAGCTGGATCCTCCATGTCTCTACTTCCATGTTCTAGCTTCCCTTTACCTTCTTCTTGTGGAATGTTATCATTACAATAAGAGTTTTAATATTGTTTCCTACTAATTCTGTCTATTTGCCATTTCTGTATCTATTGATCAAGTTTTCTTCTCATTATTGAGACATTTCCTTTTTCTTCACATGCCTGGTAATTTTCAGCTGGATGGCAGACAACATGAAATGTATCTTATTGTGTGTTTGATATTGTTGGGTTCCTATAAATATTATTGAGCTATGTTCTAAGATGTAGTTAAATTATCTGGAAAGATTTTGGTTCTTTGAGGGTTTTCTTTGAGGTCTTGTTAAGTAGGACCTTAGCAGCCTCGGCCTAGATCTAATCTTCCACACTACTGAGGCATTTCTTTTCTGAGTGTTCCATCCAATGGTCTGGGAAGTATAAGATTTGTCCACTGTTGCTGGTGGGAACACCAAATAGGCCTGGTTCTGTGGGAGGTTCAAGCATTCTTCTTTCTGTTTCCTTCAGGTATTTTTTCCCCCCAGACTTGTAGTTTACACACATACAGGTGCTGATCAGTATTTAGCTGAAGACTCTGGAGCTTTTTTGTTTTGTGACTTTGTCCTCTTCATGCCCTGAATACTCTGCCCTGCAGAGTTTATCTGAGCTTCTTTAGTCTCCCTGGAATCCCAGCTTCATCTCCTCAACTCAGGACCATCACCAGGCTCAGCCTGTGTTCTCCCTCCTTTAGCTGTGGCCTAGAAACGGATTGCCTTCTGGTCACTGCACCTGGGCAGTCCAGAGTCACAAGAAACCCCAGGCCATGTGGCAGAATGCCCACTGTCCCCACTTCACCACACTGTACTCTCTCCATCCAGTGCTAGCTGCAGCTACGCTGTCTCACAGTCCAGAATGCTAGCCAGAGACCAAGCTTTCTGCAGTGCCTTGGCTGGGGCTCACAGATAAGGATGGCTAAGCAGTGCTCCCAGAAGCCAGCAGATGCCATCAATCAGTTTTACATCCTCCAGGCACTGAGAATCTCTGGACACCTGAAGTGTCCTCTGTTGCCAGAGCTGAACTCTCAAGTGAAGACTCCAGAAGGCCCTGAAATGAGGGCAGTCTTCCATCATTGCCTGTCTGTGGCCACAAGGACACAGACTCTTTCCATGGCTGGTGAGATGTCCAGCACACTGGGGCCTCTGGAAAGCCCCTTTTCAACTTTAGGCCTTAGCTGAGCTCTCCATTTACCTCAGGCCAGGCAGTGCACATTATGGGGGACACCGCTGGGTGCTGGGATGAGAATGGCACTTGGCATGTGAGCTAGGATTGAGAGCCCACCACTCTCTTCCCCAGCCAGGCGGTGGCCAGTTACCATCTCTGGCTTCTGTCCCCTTACCAGCCTCCTCTGCTACAATTGCATTTCTGGCAGGCAGTGGATCAGAGAAGCACCGGCAGTTGAGGACCGTGTGGAGAACCACTACTGGCCAAGCATTCCCAACCTGACAGCAGAACAGCAGTACAGCAGTGCTGAGGTGAACTTGACAGAGAACTTTGAGACCATGAAGGCAACCAACACTTCCAACTCATCACAACTTGCCTCTCCCATAGATTTATTGTAGAAGAACTCAACCATCTCCGTGTCAACAAGAAATCGTCCTCACTCTAAACTATCACCCTTGGATTTATATCATGGGGCTGTCCTGTCTTTAGTATGGAACTGAAAAGTTTAATTTCCACAAAAATGTAAGGCTTTGGGCTACAGCCTTATTAAAACAAACAAATATGAGCATAGTGGTCTACAGATGGAATATGTGGGGCTCTAAACAAACTGTGACTTGAAAGTATAATCATTGTCTTTTTGTTTGTTTCTTTAGCCTGGTAGGACAATGTCAGAAATTTCCTTGGTCATACGGAATATAAAACATAGTTTGAACAAAAGCAGCAATAAAGCTACAAACTATTTTTGGTGTATTTGCTTAAGTATAAGATAGTTGATTGGGGCTTTATCATGTAACATTAGTTTGCTTAATTTTCATTAAGTTTGTTCAACTTGAATTGTGAATAAATATATGGCTGATTCATATTGTAATTAAACTGCACATTGACATAAACTGTACATTAAAAGTTGCTGCACATTGTCATCCAAAATAATACTTAAGTAAAACCAAAAATTCTATAAACCAGTGTCAAGGAATGTAACCTAAAATAAACATACAGTTAACATGGAATTGCAAAACTAGTATAGGAGAAATATTTACCCATAAAATCTTGTTTGGAACATTGATATAATACTAGAAAAGAATTTTTCTAAATAACTACAATGTTCAACTTTGACTGTGCATGTGTGAAGACCAGACATTTTGAATCATTGCCCTGTGGTGTGTGGCGGTACAATTTTACAGAAATGCACTACAATAATTAATAAAATTATCTAATGGGAAGACCTTAATGAATAAGTATTTACACTATAAATATTTATAATATTGGTGCTATTATTTCACAAAATAAAAAAGCTGTATTACAGTCTTTAAAAGCAAATAATAGCCTTACATTTCTAAATAAAGAAAAAAATATAAATTTTATGAAATACGGTTAAGAGTAATTGATAAAATAAAAATTGGGGCACAAATTATAGTTTGGATAGAGGTTGAAAAAAGTGGATGAAAATTTTAATGAGCCCTTTTTGCCTGCACTAAACTTAATCTTATAGGTAAACATTATAATATATATAGGGTACCCACTAGCTATCTAATTTACTTTTTACACAATATATAAATCCTAGCCTATTGGTCTTAATATTTGAACCTAAAATAACACACAAACATACAAGAGAACAAAATAAGGAAGAAGTGTACGGAGAGAGTGACATTATCAAAGTGGTGGAATAGGGGGTCCCTACTTTTGTATTCCCCTGCAGCAATAAAAACTAGTCAGCCATCCATCAACCAAAGTAACTTTATGAGAGATCCAGGCACTGTGGCTCATGACAGTACTCTCCTCCATTCAGGAGCCTGAGGTGGGAGGACTGCCAGGCCAGGAGTTCAAGAACAGCCTGGGCAATATAGTGAGCTTTGGGATACAGGGCATTATGAAACCTTGCTAAAACCCAAGATCAAAAAGGGTCATTTTGAGAAGGCAGGGCTTTTGGTTAATAAGGTGTCATATTATCCAAAGCAATCTGTAAGCTAACTCAAATCCGTATCAAAATCCCTGTCCCACTTTTTATAGTAATAGAAAATGCAAGCCTACAATGTAGGCTGAATGACCAAGCCAATCATGAGGAATAAGAAAAAAGCTGGGGACATCATACTCGTGACTCACACGAAACAGTTCAAAAGTCACTGTTTGTAGATAACCTGGGGAAAACCTGCTAGGTACTCAGTGGGAGCCACACTCACCCACATATCTGCTATTAGGCCCAGCATATAGCAGAACCTGCCCTAGTGCCTGCTCCACAAAACAAAGCCCTGAAGATAATCCAGCCTGCCCAAAAACATGACATAACTCACAACCACACGTGCTCCTGGTAACAAGCCCACTAAAGGTAAAACCCACTTCAGATTCGGCAGCCAACTTGTGATGCAGCTACAAGCCTTTTTACTGCAAACCCAGTAAAGATCTCATCAGCCTTGAGACCCAACAGATGAAGATCTTTACCTACTAAAACCAGTTTATAAAAATTAACAGAGGTGGATGGGCACGGTGGCTCACACCTGTAATCCCAGCACTTTGGGAGGCCTAGGTGGGTGAATCATGAGGTCAGGAGTTCAAGTCCAGCCTGGCCAAGATGGCAAAACACTGTTTCTACTAAAAATACAAAAATTAGCCAGGCATGATGGTTGGTGCCTGTAATCCCAGTTACTTGGGATGCTGAGGTAGAGAATTGCTTGAACCCAGGAGGCGGAGGTTGCAGTGAGCCAAGATCGTGCCACAGCACTCCAGCCTGTGTGACAGAGTGAGACTCCGTCTCAAAAACAAAACAACAACAACAACAACAACAAATGAAAAGAGGCGTTTGCTCCTTCAAATGTGCAAACACCAATGCAAGTCTACATTATGCCCATTCTAACGGTTCTATTTTAACATAGAACTGGAAGTCCTACATAGAATAATTAAGTCCTACATCAAATAATTAAGCAAGAAAAGCTAAAAGATCCATATTGAAAAGAAGAAATAACGTCACTGTCTGTAGATGACATAATGTTATATATAAAAAACATAAATAGTACATTTAAATAATGTATTTAATGCATCTATATATAAATAGTGTATCTAATAAATGCACTCAGTAAAGAAGCAGAATATACAATTAGCATACACATATCAGTTTTGTTTCTATATGCTAGCAACAAACCAGTAAAAAAAAAAAAATCTCATTTACAAGAGCAACAAAATAATAGATTTCTTAGCAATAAATTTAACCAATGTGGTGAAAGATCTTTACGATAAAAATAAAATATATTGATACAAAATAAAGAAGATACAAATAAATGTAAATATATTACATATTTATGGATTAGAAGAATATTGTCTAAGTGCCATATTATCCAAAGCAATCTGTAGATTAATTCAACTTCCTATCAAAATTCCTGTGCCACTTTTTACAGTAATAGAAAATAAAGTCTGCAATGTATATAAACCTATAAGAAATATTGAATGGCCAAAGCAATCGTGAGGAATAAAACGAAATCTGGGGACATTATACTTTATTATTTAAAACTACATTTCAAGACTACAGTAAACATAATAGAATGGAATGTTTATAGGAAGAAACACAAAAACCAATGGAACAGAATACAGAGCCCAGAAGTAAATCTATGCACCTAAAGCTAATCTTTGACAAGGGCACTATGAATACGCCATACAAAAAGTGTAGCCTTTTCAATACTTAGTGCTGAGAAAACTGGATACTCGCAAGCACAATAATAAAACTAGATCATATTTCCTACACCAGACACAAAAATTGACTTAAAATAAAGACTTAAATTTCATACATAAATCCTTAAAAGAAAATTTTTAGAAAAGCATATGAAAAGCATCCATGATACTGGCCTTGGCAATGTTTTTTAAATATGATATCAAAAGTATAGCAATAAAACAAGACACAAAGTTGTAGTGTATTAAACTATTGTGCACAGCAAAAAAATAAGAAAACATTTAAGATGAGATAAAACATTTGTAAACCATATATGATAAGAGGTTAGTATTCAAAATATAGCAGAAACTCATACAAATCAGAAGCTAAACAGTAATAATTATAATACCCAACTAAAAAATAGCAAAAGACTAAACTTTTTAAATTATTATTATACTTTAACTTTTAGAGTACAGGCGCACAACGTGCAGGTTTGTTACATATGTATACATGTGATATGTTGGTTTGCTACACCCATTAACTCGTCATTTAGCATTAGGTATATCCCCTAATGCTATCCTTCCCCCCTCCCACACCTCACAACAGGCCCCAGTGTGTGATGTTCCCTTTCCTTTTTCCATGTGTTCTCATTGTTCAATTCCCACCTATGAGTGAGAACATGCAGTGTTTGGTTTTTTGTCCTTGTGATAGTTTGCTGAGAATGATGGTTTCCAGCTTCATCCATGGCCCTACAAAGGACATGAACTCATCCTTTTTTATGGCTGCATAGTATTCCATGGTACATATGTGCCACATTTTCTTAATCCAGTCTATCATTGTTGGACATTTGTGTTGGTTCCAAGTCCTTGCTACTGTGAATAGTGTCGCAATAAACATACGTGTGCATGTGTCTTTATAGCAGCATGATTTATAATCCTTTGGGTATATACCCAGTAATGGGATGGCTGGGTCAAATGGTATTTCTAGTTCTAGATCCCTGAGGGATCGCCACACCGACTTCCACAATGGTCGAACTAGTTTACAGTCCCAACAACAGTGTAAAAGTGTTCCTATTTCTCCACATCCTCTCCAGCACCTGTCATTTCCTGACTTTTTAATGATCGCCACCCTAAATGGTGTGAGATGTTATCTCATCAAGGTTTTGATTTGCATTTCTCTGATGGCCAGTGATGGTGAGTATTTTTTCATGTGTTTTTTGGCTGCATAAATGTCTTCTTTTGAGAAGTGTCTTTTCATATCCTTCACCCACTTGTTGATGGGGTTGTTTGTTTTTTTCTTGTTAATTTGTTTGAGCTCATTGTAAATTCTGGATATTAGCCCTTTGTCAGATGAGTAGATTGCAAAAATTTTCTCCCATTCCATATTTTGCCCGTTCACTCTGATGGTGGTTTCTTCTGTGCAGACGCTCTTTAGTTTAATTAGATCCCATTTGTCAATTTTGGCTTGTGTTGTCATTGCTTTTGGTGTTTTAGACATGAAGTACTTGCCCATGCCTATGTCCTGAATTGTATTGCCTAGGTTTACTTCTAGAGTTTCTATGATTTTAGGTCTAACATGTAAGTCTTTAATCCATCTTGAATTAATTTTTGTATAAGGTGTAAGGAAGGGATCCAGTTTCAGCTTTCTACATATGGCTAGCCAGTTTTCCCAGCACCATTTATTAAATAGGGAATCCTTTCCCCATTACTTGTTTTTGTCAGGTTTGTCAAAGATCAGATAGTTGTATATATGCGGCATTATTTCTGAGGGCTCTGTTCTATTCCATTGGTCTATATCTCTGTTTTGTTACCAGTATCATGCTGTTTTGGTTACTGTAGCCTTGTAGTATAGTTTGAAGTCAGGTAGTGTGATGCCTCCAGCTTTGTTCTTTTGGCTTAGGATTGACTTGGCGATGCAGGCTCTTTTTTGGTTCCATATGAACTTTAAAGTAGTTTTTTTCCAATTCTCTGAAGAAAGTCATTGGAAGCTTGATGTGGATGGCATTGAATCTATAAATTACCTGGGGCAGTATGGCCATTTTCACAATATTGGTTCTTCCTACCCATGAGCATGGAATGTTCTTCCATTTGTTTGTATCCTCTTTTATTTCATTGAGCAGTGGTTTGTAGTTCTCCTTGAAGAGGTCCTTCACATCCTTTGTAAGTTGGATTCCTAGGTATTTTATCCTCTTTGAAGCAATTGTGAATGGGAACTCACTCATGATTTGGCTCTCTGTTTGTCTGTTATTGGTGTATAAGAATGCTTGTGATTTTTGCAAAACGATTTTGTATTCTGAGACTTTGCTGAAGTTGCTTATCAGCTTAAGGAGATTTTGGGCTGAGAAAATGGGGTTTTCCAGATATACAATCATGTCATCAGCAAACAGGAGCAATTTGACTTCCTCTTTTCCTAATTGAATGCCTTTTATTCCCTTCTCCTGCCTGATTGCACTGGCCAGAACTTCCAACACTATGTTGAATAGGAGTGGTGAGAGAGTGCATCCCTGTCTTGTGCCAGTTTTCAAAGGGAATGCTTCCAGTTTTTGTCCATTCAGTATGATAGTGGCTGTGGGTTTGTCATAGATAGCTCTTATTATTTTGAGATACGTCCCATCAATACCTAATTTATTGAGAGTTTTTAGCATGAAGTGTTGTTGAATTTTGTCAAAGGCCTTTTCTGCATCTATTGAGATAATCTTGTAGTTTTTGGCTTTGATTCTGTTTATATGCTAGATTACGTTTATTGATTTTTGTATGTTGAACCAGTCTTGTATCCCCAGGGATAAAGCCCTCTTGATCATGGTGGATAAGTTTTTTAATGTGTTGCTGGATTCATTTTGCCAGTATTTTATTGAGGATTTTTGCATCAATGTTCATCAAGGATATTGGTCTAAAATTCTCTTTTTTTGTTGTGTCTCTGCCCAGCTTTCATATCAGGATGATGCTGGCCTCATAAAATGAGTTAGGGAGGATTCCTTCTTTTTCTATTGATTGGAATAATTTCAGAAGGAATGGTACCAACTCCTCCTTGTACCTCTGGTAGAATTCGGCTGTGAATCCATCTGGTCCTGGACTTTTTTTTGGTAAGCTATTAATTATTGCATCAATTTCAGAGCCTGTTATTGGTTTATTCAGAGATTCAACTTCTTCCTGCTTTAGCCTTGGGAGAGTGTATGTGTAGAGGAATTTATCCACTTCTTCTAGATTTTCTAGTTTATTTATGTAGAGTTGTTTATAGTATTCTCTGACGGTAGTTTGTATTTCTGTGGGATAAGTCGTGATATCCCCTTTGTCATTTTTTATTGTGTCTATTTGATTCATCTCTCTTTTCTTCTTTATTAGTCTATCAATTTTGTTGATCTTTTCAAAAAACCAGCTCCTGAATTCATTGATTTTTTGAAGGGTTTTTTTGTGGCTCTATTTCCTTCAGTTCTGCTCTGATCTTAGTTATTTCTTGACTTCTACTAGCTTTTGAATGTGTTTGCTCTTGCTTCTCTAGTTCTTTTAATTGTGATGTTAAGGTGTCAATTTTAGATCTTTCCTGCTTTCTCTTGTGGGCATTTAGTTCTATAAATTTCCCTCTACACATTGCTTTGAATGTGTCCCAGAGATTCTGGTATGTTTTATCTTTGTTCTCCTTGGTTTCAAAGAATATCTTTATTTCTGCCTTCATTTCGTTATGTACCCTGTAATCATTCAGGAGCAGGTTCTTCAGTTTCCATGTAGTGGAGCAGTTCTGAGTGAATTTCTTAATACTGAGTTCTAGTTTGATTGCATTGTGGTCTGAGAGACAGTTTATTATGATTTTTTTTTTTTTTTACATTTGCTGAGCAGTGCTTTACTTTCAACTATGTGGTCAATTTTGGAATATGTGTGGTGTGGTGCTGAAAATAATGTATATTCTGTTGATTTGGGATGGAGAGTTCTGTAGATGCCTATTAGGTCCACTTGGTGCAGAGCTGAGTTCAATTCCTGGATATCCTTGTTAACATTCTGTCGTGTTGATCTGTCTAATGTTGACAGTGGGGTGTTAAAGTCTCCAATTACTATTGTGTGGTAGTCTAAGTCTCTTTGTAGTTCACTAAGGACTTGCTTTATGAATCTGGATGCTCCTGTATTGGGTGCATATGTATTTATGATAATTAGTTCTTCTTGTTGAATTGATCCCTTACCATTATATAATGGCCTTCTTTGTCTCTTTTGATCTTTGTTGGTTTAATGTCTGTTTTATCTGAGACTAGAATTGCAACCCCTGCCTTTCTTTGTTTTCCATTTGCTTGGTAGATGTTCTTCCGTCCCTTTATGTTGAGCCTGTGTGTGTCTCTGCATGTGAGATGTGTTTCCTGAATAGAGCACAGATGAGTCTTGACTCTTTATCCAATTTGCCAGTCTGTGCCTTTTAATTTGAGCATTTAGCCCATTTCCATTTAACGTTAGTATTGTTAAGTGTGAATTTGATCCTGTCATTATGATGTTAGCTGGTTATTTTGCTCATTAGTTGACGCAGTTTCTTCCTAGCCTCGATGATCTTTACAATTTGGCATGTTTTTGCAGTGGCTGGTACCAGTTTTTCCTTTCCGTGTTTAGGGCTTCCTTCAGGAGCTCTTTTATTGCAGGTCTGATGGTGACAAAATCTCTCAGCATTTGTTTGTCTGTAAAGGATTTTATTTTTCCTTCACTTATGAAGCTTAGTTTGGCTGGATATGAAATTCTGGGTTGAAAATTCTTTTCTTTAAGAATGTTGAATATTGGCCCCCACTCTCTTCTGGCTTGTAGAGTTTCTGGTGAGAGATCCACTGTTAGTCTGATGGGCTTCCCTTTGTGAGTAACCCGACCTTTCTCTCTGGCTGCCCTTAACATTTTTTCCTTCATTTCAACTTTGGTGAATCTGACAATTATGTGTCTTGGAGTTGCTCTTCTCGAGGAGTATCTTTGTGGTGTTCTCTGTATTTCCTGAATGTGAATGTTGGCCTGCCTTACTAGATTGGGGAAGTTCTCCTGGATAATATCCTGCTGATTGTTTTCCAACTTGGTTCCATTCTCCCGTCACTTTCAGGTACACCAATTAGACGTAGATTTGGTCTTTTCACATAGTCCCATATTTCTTGGAGGCTTTGTTCATTTCTTTTTATTCTTTTTTCTCTAAACTTCTCTTCATGCTTCATTTCATTCATTTCATCTTTCTTCGCTGATACCCTTTCTTCCAGTTGATTGCATCAGTTACTGAGGCTTGTGCATTCATCACATAGTTCTTGTGTCATGGTTTTCAGCTCCATCAGGTCCTTTAAGGACTCCTCTGCATTGGTTATTCTAGTAAGCCATTCATCTAATTTTTTTCAAAGTTTTTAACTTCTTTGCCATTCATTTGAACTTCCTCCTTTAGCTCGGAGTAGTTTGATCATCTGAAGCCTTCCTCTCTCAACTCATCAAAGTCATTCTCCATCAAGCTTTGTTCCGTTGCTGGTGAGGAGCTGCAATCCTTTGGAGGAGGAGAGATGCTATGATGTTTAGAGTTTCCAGTTTTTCTGCTCTGTTTTTTCCCCATCTTTGTGGTTTTATCTACCTTTGGTCTTTGATGATGGTGATGTACAGATGGGTTTTTGGCGTGGATGTCCTTTCTGTTTGTTAGTTTTCCTTCTAACAGTCAGGACCCTCAGCTGCAAGTCTGTTGGAGTTTACTGGAGGTCCACTCCAGACCCTGTTTACCTGGGTATCAGCAGCGGTGGCTGCAGAACAGCAGATATTGGTGAACTGCAAATGCTGCTGCCTGATGGTTCCTCTGGAAGTTTTGTCTCAGAGGTGTACCCGGCCGTGTGAGGTGTCAGTCCACCCCTACTGGGGGGTGCCTCCCAGTTAGGCTACTCGGGGATCAGGGACCCACTTGAGGATGCAGTCTGCCCATTCTCAGATCTCAAGCTGTGTGCTGGGAGAACCACTACTCTCTTCAAAGCTGTCGGACAGGGACATTTATGTCTGCAGAGGATATTGCTGTCTTTTGTTTGTCTGTGCCCTGCCCACAGTGGTGGAGCCTACAGAGGCAGGCAGGCCTCCTTGAGCTGTGGTGGCTCCACCTAGTTCAAGCTTCCCGGCTGCTTTGTTTACCTACTCAAGCCCCTCCCCCAGTCCCACTGCCACCTTTCAGTTTGATCTCAGAGTGCTGTGCTAGCAATGAGCAAGGCTCCATGGGCATAGGACCCTCCGAGCCAGGTGCAGGATATAATCTCCTGGTGTGCTGTTTGTGAAGCTGGTTTTACAAGTTCAGTATTAGGGTGGGAGTAACCCGATTTTCCAGGTGTCATCTGTCACCCCTTTCTTTGACTAGGAAAGGGAATTCCCAGACCCCTTGTGCTTCCCAGGTGAGACAATGCCTCACCCTGCTTTGTCTCATGCGCGGTGCACTGTACCCACTGTCCTGCACCCACTGACCGGCACTCGCTAGTTACATTAGCCTGGTACCTTAGTTGGAAATGCAGAAATCACCCATCTTCTGCATCACTCACGCTGGGAGCTGTAGACGGGAGCTGTTCCTCTTCGGCCCTCTTGGCTCCACTGACCAAGACTAAATATTTTTTACAAACATATTCAAATGGCCAACAGGTGTGTAGAAAGATGCTAAACATTACCATTCATGAGAAAATTGCAAATCAAAGGATCCCAGTTTACAGCAGTTGGAATGGCTAATATCAAAAAAAGAAACATGACAAGTGTTAACAAGGATGTGACCAAATATTTCTGTACATTCTTAATGAGTTGCAAACTGGAAGAGTCATTATGAAAATTAGTACGCAGGTTATTTTAAAAAATAGAACTATCGTACAATCCCGAAATTCCACTTCTGTCTATAAACAAAATAAAATCAGCATCTCAAAAATTATCTGCACCCTTGTATTCAATGCAGCATTATTCACAACTGTCAAGGGTATTTTTTTTTTAAATGACTTATCTGCAGATGCTGAATGGATAAGGAAAATGTGGTATAAATATACAACTGAATATTATTCACCCATAAAAAAGAATGAAATTCTGCTATTTCAACAACATGAATGGACCTGGGTACATTATGCTGTGCAAAATAAGCCAGACACGGAAGGACAAACACTGTATGTTCTCACTTAAATGGAGAATTTAAAAAGCCTGAACTCATAGAAGCAGAGCGTACAATGGTAATGACCAGGCCTGGAGGTAGAAAAAATGATAAGGTGTTCAGGGTACAAACTTTCAGTTATAAGATAAATAAGTTTTGGGGGTCTAATGTATAGCTTTAAGATGTAGTTAATAACAGTGTTTTGTATGCTTAAAATTTGCTACAACAGTAGGAGACCTCAAATGCTCTCACTACAAAAAACATAACCATGTAAGGTGACATAAATATTCATCAACTTAATTGTATTAAACATTTTACAATATATATACCTATCAAACTTTTATAATATACACAATACATAATTATGCAATTTTTATTGGTCAAAAAATTAATGTTATGTACACATGCATATATTCACATAAGTGTGTATATACACATATATAAAACATATACGTATATATCAATTACATACGTATATACTTGTGTGTGTGTATGTGTATATATATATACATACATATCAATGACAATATCCTAGTAAGCTTCAAACTAAACAAGAGAAAACTATAAAATGATAACTATTTAAAAATCAAGAAAAAAATGGGTATTTAATACATGCTCAGCAATATTCTAAGTTCCTCAATGGCAAAGTACATGTTTTAAATGTAGAAAGTAGATACATTAAACCATATTACAGTTTAGGAATTATGGCACAGAGTGTTTACAGTATTAGCCTCAATACATACCAAAAACTTAAAATTTTGAAGTAAAATAACATTTCGTTTTATTATATGGGGCAGAGGCTTAGTGTTCTGATTAAATTATTGAGTATGAATTTCTGTAGAATCACATTTGAAACCTTCACAGGATATGAAATTATAAAGCAGAAAACATACGACATCTGGATGTGGTGTTTCTGGGATTTCTAAACCAAATCCCAATATCTCCACTACTCTCACACATTTTAGACAAGACCCAAAATGGAAATTAGAAAATGTTTAACATAGAGTTCCTTAAAAATCACAGACGGCCCCATGTCCTCAAAAGCAATAAAAGAGCAAGAGCCAGGTCCTCCAGTCCCTTGTAAGCCATGCAAAGGGCTTTGATTTTCTTTGTAACCTAGAAGAATGATCGTTGAAGGGGAAGTCCAGTCCTAGAAAATTGAAGAGCATAGGGCAGAAGATATCTGTCTCTAATGAAAGCAAGAGAAAGAAATCAGGGCTTCTCGGAAAAGATTTCCATTGGAGCATAGCTTCGCAAACCACACTTTAAGATCTGGCTTTTTCCTTGACCTTTGGTCATCTCATCTGTGTCATCTGCCTTATTCACTCCCACCTATTTGGATGTTTGGCTACTATCTCCTGTCTCCTCACACTCTGGGGCTTTTTCTTTTACTCAATGTAGGTGATCAGGTTTAGCTTAGAGAACAGCCAAGGACTCTGTATTAGAAAAAGTAATATGACTTACACTGTGTTTTTCCAATTACTACTTAGTACTGTGCTCAGTGGAAAAAAACAGAACATTATAAAAGAGTCTAAAAATGTAATACCAAATACTATTTCCTCACAGAAATGTTATGATATTTAAAAACTTTTCTAAATTTGTGGGTCCTTAGCTCCATGACCCAGTGCTGCTGAATCAAAACTTCGTGGTGGTTGGCTGGGCCTGGGGACTCACACCGCTGATCCCAGCACTTTGAGAGGCCAAGACAGGCAAATAACTTAAGCCCAGGAATTTGAGGCCAGCCTTGGAAACATCGCGAGACCTAGTCTACAGGTTGAGGGTGGGGAGGAGGGGGAAAGGTGGTGGTAATGGGAGGTGGTAATGCGATTATAAGGTGTGGGCAACCATATTTTGTGCCTCTAGATTTGTGGAGTTACCACTAATCTAAAATTAAGGATACAGATCAGCTGAAGAAAGAAAAAGATTTATGTCAAAATGAAACCTCCTCGTGGGGGTCTGCAGCTGCAATACCGCCAGGTGGCAGCATCCCACCTCTTTCGCCTGGCTGCAGCCCCACCAGGAGCCCGGCTCCAGCCGGGGCGCTGCAGCAGGTACTAGACCTGGAAGGCGCAGACGCGGGTTTCCTGCCCTCCGGGGTGTGTTCCTGCTCCCCGGACCCCAGGCAACTCAATTCATTCATCAAGCGCCCCCGCAACCATCCAAGTTGGGGCAGCAGGTCCCACAGTTGCCATCCAAGACCTCCGCTCCAGAACCCGTGGGCTGCTTTCCCCGGGGGAAGGACATTGTCTTCGCCAGCCACGAAGAAATCTGTCCCTGTGCACCCTGTTTCCCATTGCCACCAACTTCGTGTAAACTCTAGTCCCGAGGACACGAGAGAGACCCAGACCTGGCCCCATGGACACGCTCGGTGCCACGGCTTCCACCAGATGGACGGGTGCACTCTACAAATCTCGGGGCCCACAGCACCAAGGAGACAGGAAGAAGCAAACAAAGGAAGGACCCTATGAAACGCACCCCCAAAGCAACCAACCAATCCAAGAAAAAAAAAAAACACGTCTCAGGGCTCAGTTGGTTTTCCCGCATGGGCGGCCCTGACCCCCTGTTCTAGCCTGGCCCAAGCACCCTCCACCTCACCTCGGCCTGCTCAAAGTGCCCTGTCTACCTGAGCAGAGCCTCCCTCTCCAAGGCTCGGTCTCTCTCGCTCTACAACTCCCTCACCCTCTCCCTTTCTCTACTTCCCCCTCCAACCCTCGCTCTTCTGTCACCTTCTGTCTCTCTCCCCCTGCACTTTTCTCTCTCTCCCCCCATTTGTATCTCTCCATCCCGGTCTCCCTAGCTCTCTTTCAAGCTGTGTCTGTGTCTTGGTCTGTATGTCCTTGTATGTGTGTCCGTGTGTGTGTTTCCGTGTGTGTGTCTTTGTGTGTCCGTGTGTGTGTCTGTGTGTGTGTCCATGTGTGCTGTGTGCATGCACCCGTGTGTATCTGTGTGTGTGTCGTGGTGGGTTTGCTCGTGGTAGTGGTGGGGTGTGTCTGCGTGTCCGTCAGCTCCTGTTTCCCGGGATCAGGCTGCCGAGGCTCTAGTGCCGGCGCGGGGCAAAGCAGGGACTTCCTGTCCCGTTGGCCACGGGCGGGTCCTCGTTGGGACAAGCGACGATGGTGTGGGTATTGTGAGAAAAAGGGCCTGCGGGGCTGGGCCAGCTGTTTGCCCCTGGGCAGCCCTGACTGCTCTGGGTGTGTGGGCCAAGAGGGGGCCTTGCAGGAGGGGTGGCGAAGGATCCAAAACAATTTTTCCGTGGCAAGGCGGAGGACCAGAGGGGATCCCAGGACTGTGGGCCCCGGGCCCTGACTCCTCCAAGCACACCCTGTCTTGAGCCGGCCCGATGTGTTGGAAAATCGGGAGCTCGCGAGCCGGGGGGAAGGCCTGGAGTGTCAGCAAAAGGGAGGCTGCCTGGTGGGCCTATAGCCTGGGCAAGGGACTGAGGCATCACGGCCTGATGACGGATTCCTGTTTCCTGCAACATGGGGAGTCTCCAAAATGGCCTGTTTGGAAACGAAAGGAGAGCGAAGACACGATGCTGCTTTTCCACCCTTCGCTGGGGGTTTCTGTGTCCCCACAGAGCTCGGGAAACAAACAGTCAACATGGTCACGCTTTCGGGGGCCAGAGACACGTGAGCAGCAGTCCCACTTGCAGAGGGCAAAGGAACGTGGAATCCGGAATCATGGTTCACTCGGCTTGAGTGTGACTCCTGTGTGGATGGGAGTATCTGCCTCGCGCTCTGTTGCAGGCTCAGCGTGGGGATATGTCATCTGTGAACCATGTGGATGAAAAACGGACAACCATTCGAGTCTCGTCTCTGATCTTTGGGGAATTCGCTCATTCCTTGGGAGGTGGAATTCCTCTGAATCGCTCCCGAATGAAGTAACCCAGGCTGGTGAACCAGAGGGCCGGTGAGCACACCGCCGGCCGAGGCGGCTGTGGGCTGAGCACTCAGCCTGCACTGGGCACCCAACATTTTCCCGGAGTTCGAGGTCCTGCTGGGCCTGGAGGCAGAAGACCTCTTTTCTCTTTGCCTTCCCTTCTCTGTTTCTTGCTCCTTTTCTCCCTCTGTCCATCCTTCCCTCTGTTCTTCCTTCTCTCCCTCTCTCCCTCCCTGTCTCCCTCCCTCCCTCTGTTCTCTCCTTCCCTCTCTCCCACCATCCATACCTCCCTTTCTCCCTCCTTCCCTCCCTCCCTTCCTTTTTCTTTCCCTCCCTCCCTCCCTCCATCCCTTCCAAGGTCCGTCCTTTCATCCGTCCTTTCCTCCCTCTGTCCCTCTCTCTCACTTTGTCTCCGTTCCTTTCCCCATCTCTGCCTGGCTTCCCTCCCGCCTAGAAAGGGCAGAACCACGGTTTGCACGAGATCTCGGGGTCTACATTTAGTTCCCGGGCGCTTCACGTGATGCCAAGGAGGATGGCGGGGCACGGGTGGGCAAGGGAGGGTGGAGCGGGGAGGTAGTGGAGTTGAGCTGCGAAAAGGAGAGCAGGCCTGGCCGCTGCCCGGATCGGTATTTCCCGGGGTGGAGGTCTCCACCTACACCACTGAAGAACGCGGGGGAGGGGGGGATGTACTGTGTGGGGGAGTGGGGGAAGGGATGAGAGCCCTGCCTGGGCTGGTCCCAAACCCTAGCCGGCTGCCCGCGGACCTGCGCATGCGCAGTAGACGGCCCATCTCTGAGTACCTGGGCTGGCTCTGAAATCCTTGGGATGCTCAGGAAAGAATGACAGCCCTCCTTTCTGTGGAGTCTCTCGCTGGACTTGGACTCAGGGATCCTAGACAGGTCAGCTGGAAGGGAAGACACAGGTCTCCATACTGAACCAGAGGTTCACCGCGAAAGAGGAGCCACTGACCTGCCCCCACCCGGTCCCAACCCCGCGTCCTAAAGCTCCTCCAGCTGAGCCCAGTGTTCTTCCTGGCTGAGGAGTGGTTCCAGAAAAGCAGGCTCTTCCAAGTCCTTCAAATCCCTCAGCGGCTCCGTTGCTAGGAAAGGTTGTGTCCTTTGCTGAAACTGTGTCCTTTGCTGAAAAATGGGGTAGACAGGAGCTCATATAACAGGGTGGATGCGAGTACAGATGAAGACTCCAGCTCCTGGAGCGGTTGGGAGGGTGCCTGGATTGCTTACATCTTCTTCTGACACGCCGAGACCTCCATGGGCGCGAGCTGCGTAGATGTGCCTCGGCTTCGCGTTCCCACGAGCCCTGGCGACCTGTGGACCCTGGCCCCAGCCCCAATATGGACTCATGTGGGACGTGTGCGGCGCAAGCACACCTTGCCCCTGTGACTCAGCCTGAGCGGCCCAAGCTGTCCCATTGAGCACGCACCGAGAAAGCCACCGTACTACGGGTCCTGGTCCTGCTGCCATCTGTTCGGATGCTGAGGTCACCCAGGTGTCTGAGGGTGGGACAGCTCCACTTCCGAAGGAGCCAGGGCCGCAAATCCAAAATCCCTGTGTGCCGTGATAGGTTGGGAGATTCCTTCTGCCTGCGAAGCCTGGCTGGGCTGCAGCAGAGGGGCGACCCTTGCTGTCTGGCTCACGAAAGCCCCCTGTTCCCCACGCCCTGGCGTGGGTGAAGGCGACCAAGGAGGGAGGGTGGCACCCGCTGTAGGCCGCGTTGCACAGGCCGCCTGCGTGCGCGGGTTCCCTGCTACCCTGGCCTGGATGCCTGGACCTTCGATTCTGACACGAAATCTGAATCCTGGACTCCAATAGGCAGGTCTCTCTGGCCAGTTCGGGTACAGGTTCCGCTCAAAGCATGCTGGCAGGGCATCTTTTTCGTTCAGGTTACAAACCAGTCTCCTTTGCCGTCCTCGTCCTCGGGCTTTCGCGGGGAAGGGGCTGTTAGAAGGTGTCGGGAGAGCCATCGCGAGGGCACCTGGCTGGAATTTCACGGACAGACACAGACAGATAGAGGCCGGCGGCTCCCGTGGGCCTCAGTTGGCCTCTGTGCTGCACGCAGGTCCAGGCAGGAGTCCGACCCCGCCAGTGGCCCTTATAAAGACCCACCAGCTTCACCCCTTCATGAATATGCATGAACACCCAAGGGCCCTGGGTAACCCGCCCTCCGAAGGGCCCAGAAACCACAGACACAGGGCCTTGTGTGGTAGGTGAAGGTGGGGCCAGATCGGATGGGAAAGGGGGGCTTCTGGGACTGGCTCTCTGAGTTCTCCAGAATTCTACAGAAACTGGAAGTTTCTCTCTGGGTTCACACACGATTTCAGGGAGAAACCACCCTGGAAGGGTAGAGTGTGGAACTGAACCTCCATGATAGTCTTGAGTTTTCCAGTCCCTCTCCCTGAAGCCGGCAATGCCTGTGGGTGTCTCCATTGCCGTGATAGTCACACACGCAGGTGTGTGGATCTCATTGATTTTTTTTATTTTCATTTTTTATTTCTACCTCTTAAAGTCAATGATAAAGTCATGAGTGTAAAATGAATGCATTTAAAAACATAAAAGATACGTTTCAATGACAAGAAATCTGCAATGATCATGAAAATCTACTGTACACTTTGCCAAGGTCAAAGAATGAAAGACAATATGGAAAAGCCAATCTTCAAATATATCCTTAACAAAAACTCTCTCCTACATAGTAAAAGCATCATCTAAACAGCAGCTCCAACCGAGAAAAAAAAAAACAAAAAAACAAAAAACAAAAAACAAAAACAGCAGGGTAGATGGGACAGATAACTTTCCCCAGGTTTTCCAGATAAAAACATGTGGTCACCAGGAATTCAAGGTAACTTAAAAAGCCACGTTTAATTCAAAATAAAATGAACACTTCTGACAGATGACAGCAGTATGATACTGACTTTTTTCTTTCCTAGATACAAATGATATGGGGCATTTCTTAACAGTTTAGTAATCGTCTAAGAATAACTGTAGAAATAACCCCAATTCCACCATCCCAGCCACTGGTATAAAACAAATAACCTTCCATTGACACTGTCTTTCACATAACTACAATATCCTCACTTACTTGGAACAATTTCATGCTTACACATGATCACAAACACTTGTTTTTAGATGTTGTGGAATTATTGGAGCTGAGATTTTTTAAACAATATCTGAATCTTAGCAGAGAGCAAATAATCCTTTCACTATACATTGATTGGGCTTCCTTAACCAAATCTGAGCAACTGCTATAATAATAATGCTGGTGGTAATCCATGATACTCTCAAATTTTTCCCTTTAAGAAATATATAATCCATGTAACTCTAGCAAATATGTTACACTGCACACTTTCTTAACAAGGAATGGCTGTTTTCAGGCCTTATTAGGAAAACAAAGAAACAAACAATGGCAGTTACTATCTGTTTTTTATCACTGATAAGTTACAATAAACTCAAATATGACAGTTTAATTGTGTGATATTAAGTGAAAAATGAAAACCATTATAGTTTTACCAAAAGAAACATAAAAAGTATGGGAAGAAGTCAAATGAGCATGGCATAAGTCCCAAAGATTACACTAGGATTCTGAACAGGATTTTCCAAACAAAGAGTATCTACATACAATTTCTGTGAATATTTCTTGTAGTAGAAAGTTCCAAAACAAATGTAGGCTCAGCCCTACCTTGTCAAAGATAAATATTCAGATAAATTAGAAGTTCCATCTGCTAAAGTGCATCCGCTGACCAGGTCTACCATGGCGCTGCTACTTACAGCCCTCTAAGAAAGTGGCCTCACTCATGCTCATTCACTCGTTCTGTGGCCTATCAAGTGTCACACATAACAATGGTTTTGCTTTTTTAAAAAAAACAAATACTTTATACAGTGAACTACAGAAAAAACAATTCTAAATATACTTTTAAAATTCTAGAGAGTTAAGGTAACCTCATTTTTTAAAATACTGAAAATGTAAAGTGTCCATATAAAGAGTTGTATTAAGTACATACTTCCTATTTTAATAATTCACTTGCTGTGCTCTTAAAATCTCTCTGAGAGAAGCAGATATTTTACTCGTGTATTTGGCAAGAGATTCAAAAGCAAAAGTAGCAGGGCTGTAAAATTCCATAAAATTTGTGGGATTTTTAAAAGCTAAATTATTCAATATTTTGTATTGTTATTGCACTCATATATTGCCCAGAATATATATACAGCAACCCAGCAACAGTGATTGCAACAAAAGTAAGGTAAATAGGTCTACAAAGCATTTGATTTCCTTATTAGATAAGTGAAGTTTTCATAGAGGAAGTGCAAATTCAGATCAGGTTACATAAGCTTAACAATTATTCAAACCTTATATAAAATTAAATCTAACCCTCCCCACTACAAATCTGTAAGGAATCACTGTCAGGAATCTACAGGACTTGGCTCGTATTTACATTTGATGCACACTTAGAAATTTCATAAATGATGAGATGCAGGCCAAGGGGATTCCTCAAAGGGCTCCACCCAAAAGGAAAAGAAAGAGAGTTAAACAGAGAATTACCACTTACGTATTTGTGGGTAATCAGCTTATTCCTCAGCCTCTAGACAGTGAGGAGGATGAAAAAATGGAAGAAAATAATAAAGAAGAGGAAGAAAAAGATCACAGTGAAGCGATGAAGCCAGAGAAGCCACCTCAAAATTTACTGAGAGAAAAAAATCATGAAGCTGCCCTTCCCTGAATCTTTAAAAGCTTACTTGACATATTTTAGAGACAAATAACTTAGATCAAGAAGAAAGAATGCCTACTGATAATTCCTTTAGTCTTGAAAATGTAGCATTTATTAGGAATTAAAAGAATTATTTATTTCATCAGAGCAAATTATAGTGGAAAAAATATCACTTGTTACTGTCAGTAACATAAACGATGTATTGAGTGAATAAAAGAATCCCTTTTATAAAATCTATTTTTCTTTAAATCTTGGAAAATTGTTGTTTCACCTCAGAGTGATTTCAAAGTGGAATGTGACAGTTGTCAAGACTTGTGTGCTATAAATCCTTTTCTGATTCCTTACGGATCTCATTCATTTTCATGTAGAAAACGAGAGCGAAACTACAGAGAAAAGAAAGGCCCGGTGCATTACGGCCTGAAGAGGGATTCCTGTTTCCTGCAACATGGGGAGTCTCCACTATGGCCTGTTTCCAAACAGGGAACTGGAAAGGAGAGCGAAGACACGATGCTGCTTTTCCGCGGTTCTCTGGAGGTTTCTGTGTCCCCAGAGAGCTCGGGAAACAAATAGTCAACATGGTCACGCTTTCGGGGGCCAGAGATGCATGAGCAACAGGTCCCCTTGCAGAAGGCAAAGGAACGTGGAACCCGAAACCACGCTTCAGTCAGCCTGAGTGTGACTCCTGTGTGGACGAGACTATCCACCTAGCGCTCCGTTGCAGGCTCAACGTGGGGCTATCTCATCTGTGAACCATGTGGATGAAAAATGGACAATCACCCGAGTCTCGGCTCATTGCTCTCTGGGCAATTCCCTCATTCCTTGGGAGACGAAATTCGGCTGAATCGCTCTCGGATGAAGTAACCCAGGCTGGCGATCCAGAGGGCCGGTGAGAGCCCCGCAGGCCGACGCGGCTGTGGGCGGAGCACTTAGCCTGCACTGGGCACCCAGCATTTTCCCGGAGTGCAAGATCCTGGTGGTCCTGGAGTCAGAAGACTGCTTTTCTCTCTGCCTTCCTCTCTCTGTTTCTTGCTCCCTCCCTCCCTCTTTCCCTCTGTCCCTCCCGCAGTTCCTCCCCCCCTCCTTCGCTCCCTCCCTCCCTCCTTCCCTCTCTCCTTCCTTCTATCCCTCCATCCTTTCCAAGGTCCCTCGGTCCATCCGTTCTTTCCTCCCTCCATCGTTCCCTCCCTCTCTGTCTCCGTTCCTCTCCCCATCTCTGCCTGAGTTCCCTCCCGCGTAGAAAGGGCAGCACCCCGGTTTGCCCGGGGTCTCGGGTCTGCATTTAGCTGTCAGGCGCTCCACGGTGATGCCGAGGAAGCTGGCGGGGCAAGGGTAGGCCAGTGACGGTGTGGCGGGGAGGCAGAGTTGGCGAGACGCGGAAAGAAGAGCAGTCCTGGCGCCTGCCCGGGCCAGTGTTTCCCGGGATGGAGTTCTCCGCCCTCCCCACTGAAGAACGCGGTGGGGGGCAAGAGGGAAGTGATGAGAGCTCCACCTAGGCTAGTTAGAAAACCTAGGCTACTGCCTGCTAATCCGCGCATGAGCAGTAGACAGTCTGCCTCCCGGTACCTGGAGGGGCCCTGGGATCCCCGGGATGCTCAGAAAAGAATGACAGCCCTCCTCTGAGTGGAGTCTCTCACGCGACCTGGAACTCAGGGATCCTAGGCAGGTCAGCTGGAAGGGAAGACACGCCTCTCCATACCGAGTCAGAGGTTCACCGCGAAAGAGAGGCCGCCGCCCTGCCCCTACCCCGCCCCAACCCCGCGTCCTAAAGCTCCTCCAGCACAGCCCGCTGTTCTTCCTAGCTGAGGAGTGCTTCCAGCGGAGCGGGCTCTTCCACGTCCTTCAGCTCCCCCAGTGGCGCCGGATCTAGGAAAGGTTGTGCCTTTTGCTGGAACTCTGGGGTTTACAGGAGCTCATCTAACTGGCTGGGGGTGAGTGTAGACGAGCGCCCCGGCTCCTGGAGCGGTTGGGAGGTGCCTGGATGGCTTGCATATGTGCTTGACGCGGAGGTCTCTGGGGTCGCCAGCTTCGAAAGTGGAGGTGCCCCGTCTTCGGTTTCCCACGCCGCCATGGCGACCTGGGGCTCCAGCCCCACCGCGGACTCTGGTGGGACGTGGGTGGCGCAAACATACTTTGCCCCTGTGACTCAGCTTGAGGGTACCCAAGCTGTCCCACTGAGCATGCACCCAGCAGGCCGCCGTGCTGCGGGTCCTGGTCCTCCTGGCATTTTTGGGGGTGCGGAGGCCACCGAGGAGTCTGAGGGTGGGACAGTCCTACTTCTAGAGGAGCCAGGGCAGCAAACACAAAATCCCAGCGTGCCGGGGCAGGTTGAGAGATTCCT
Organism: Homo sapiens; assembly: GCF_000001405.40. NCBI lineage: Eukaryota > Metazoa > Chordata > Mammalia > Primates > Hominidae > Homo > Homo sapiens. The sequence goes on along the minus strand of NC_000022.11, from coordinate 11,276,840 downwards.
TCTGCCTGCGCAGCCTGGCTAGGCTGGAGCGGTGGGACGGCCCTTGCTCCCTGGCTCACGAAAGCCCCCTGTGGGAGAGCTCCAGGCGTGCAGGGCCTGTGGGGTGCGGCAAGCCCAGTTCCCCATGCCCTGGTGTGGGTGAACTCGATTGAGGAGGGAGGAGGATGACACCTGCCGGGGGTGTTAATTAGTAACCAGAGTGGCCTCAAAGAGCTCAAATGAAAGGAAGAATTTCACGTCTCTCACTTGAAGTCCAGAGCTAGAAATGATTAAGCTTAGTGAAGATGTAAAATTTTCATGGCTAGAGAGATGTCCACACTTGGCTTCAAAACTTCAAAGGATGGGCTGACTCTCTTTGAGGACCACTGCAGTTGGTGACTTTAAGTTACAGCCAGTGCTCACTGACCACTCTGAAAATCTCAGAGCCCTTAAGAATTATGCAAAATCTATTCATTCTGTGCTCTAGAAATGGAACATTACAGTCCAAGTGACAACACATCTGTTAACAGCATGGTTTACTGAATATTTTAATCCCACTATTGAGACCTACTGCTCAGAAAAAACAACAACAACAAAAAAAAATTCCTTTAAAGGGATTGCTGCTTGGCCAGGCACAATGGCTCACACCTGTAATCCCTGCACTTTGGGAGGCCGAGGTGGGTGGATCACCTGAGGTCAGGAGTTCAAGACCAGCCTGGTGAAAATGATGAAACCCTGTCTCTAATAAAAATACAAAAAAATTAACCAGGCATAGTGGTGGTATCTGTAATTTCAGCTACTTGGGAGGCTGATGCAGAAGAACGGCTTGAACCCTGGAAGTGGAGGTTGTGGTGAGCCGAGACAATGCTACTGCCCTCCAGCCTGGGCAACAAGAAGGAAACTACATAAAGGCCAAAAAAAAAAAAGAAAGAAAAGAAAAAAAAGAAAAATATTGCTGCTTATTGACAATTCACCTAGCTACCCAAAAGCTTAGATGGAGATGTACTTGGAAATTAATATTATTTTCATGGCTGCTAATACAATATCTATCCTTCAGCCTGTGGATCAAGCAGTGGTTTTGACTTTCAAGTGTTTTTATTAAATAATAAATGCATTTTGTAAAGGTATATCTGTCATAGATAGTAATTTCTTTGATGAATCTGGATAAACTGAATTGAAAACCTTTTGGAAAGGTTTCACCATTAATCCTTTCATGATATTTCAACCTCTTCGTGTGAATCATAAATGTCCTTAATAGCAAATGCCATTAAGGACATTTGTGATTGATGGGAGGAGGTTGAAATATCAACATTAACAGGAGTTTGGAAGAAGTTGATTCCAGCCCTCATGGAAGACTTTGAAGGCTCAGGATGTCAGTGGAGGAAGTCCCTACAGATGTGGTAGAAATAGCAAGACAACCAGAATTAGAATTAGGGCCTTTAGATGAGATTAAATTGCTGTAAACTCATTATGAGACTTGAGCATCTGGGGAGTTGCTTCTTATGGATGAGCAAAGAAAATATTTTCTTGAGATGGAATCTACTCCAGGTGGAGACGCTACGAACATTGTTGAAATAACAACAAAGGATTTAGAATATTCCATAAACCTAGTTGATAAAGCAGCAGCAGGGTTTGAGAGGGTTTACTCCAATTTTTAAAGAAGTTCTACTGTGGATAAAATGCTATCAAACAGCATCACATGCTACAGGGAAATCTTTTGTGAAAGGAACAAAATTCATTGTTTTAAGAAATTTACAAAAGCACCCAACCTTCAGCAGCCCCCACACTGACCAGTCAGCAGCCATCAACATAGAGGCAAGACCCTCACTGTAAGAGAAAAGAAAGAGAGATCAGACTGTTACTGTGTCTATATAGAAAGGAAAGACGTAAGAGACTCCATTTTGAAAAAGACTTGTACTTTAAACAATTGCTTTGCTGAGAAGTTAATTTGTAGCTTTGCCCCAGCCACTTTGTGACTCAACCTGGAGCTCACAAAAACATGTGTTGTATGAAATCAAGGTTTAAGGGATCTAGGGCTGTGCAGGATGTGCCTTGTTAACAAAATATTTACAAGCAGTATACTTGGTAAAAGTCATCGCCATTCTCTAGTCTCAATAAACGAGGGGCACAATGCACTGCAGAAAGCCGCAGGGACCTCTGCTCTTGAAAGCGGGATGTTGTCCAAGGTTACTCCCCATGTGATAGTCTGAAATATGGCCTCATGGGATGAGAAAGACCTGACTGTCCCCCAGCCCGACACCCGTTAAGGGTCTGTGCTGAGGTGGATTAGTAAAAGAGGAAAGCTTCTTGCAGTTGAGATAGAGGAAGGCCACTGTCTCCTGGCTGCCCCTGGGAACTGAATGTCTCAGTATAAAACCTGATTGTACATTTGTTCAATTCTGAGATAAGAGAAAAACCGCCCTATGGTGGGAGGCGAGACATGTTTGCAGTAATGCTGCTTTGTTATTCTTTACTCCACTGAGATGTTTGGGTGGAGAGAAACATAAATCTGGCTTACGTGCACGTCCACTCATAGTACCTTCCCTAGAACTTAATTGTGACATAGATTTTTTTGCTCACATGTTTTTTGCTGACCTTCTCCTTATTATCACCCTGCTCTCCTACTACATTCCTTTTTGCTGAAATAATGAAAATAATAAGCAATAAAAACTGAGGGAACTCAGAGGCTGGTGCCTGTGCAGGTCCTTGGTATGCTGAGCGCCGGTCCCCTGGGCCTACTGTTGTTTCTCTATACTATGTCTCTGTGTCTTACTTCTTTTCTCAGTCTCTTGTCCCACCTGACTAGAAATACCTACAAGTCTGGAGGGGTGGGCCACCCCTTCACTCACCAGCAAAAAGTTTATGACTTGGTAAGGCTCAGATATTCATTAGTATTTTTCAGCAATGAGGTATTTTAAGTTAATGTATGTACATAGTTTTGTAGACATAATGCGATTACTAATTAATTAATTAATAATTATTAAATACTCATTAGACTACAACATAGTTTAAGCATAACTTTTATAAGCACTGGGAAACAAAGTGTTTATGCGATTAACTTGTTTGTAACATTTACCTTATTGTGGTTGTCTGGAACCAAACCCACTATCTCTGAGAATGCTTGTAGGTTTTTGGTTGTTCTTTGTTTTGAGATAGGGTTTCACCTGTCACCCAGTCCAGAGTGCAGTGGCATGATTATAGCTCACTGCAGCCTCAAACTGCTGGGTCAAGTGATTGTTCTACCACAGCCTCCTTAGTAGCTGGGACTACAGGCATGCAGCACTATGCCTGGCTTTTCTTTTTTTTTTTTTTTTTTTTTTGAGACGGAGTCTCGCTCTTTTGCCCAGGCCAGAGTGCAGTGGTGCTATCTCGGCTCACTGCAAGCTCCACCTCCCTGGTTCATGCCATTCTCCTGCTTCAGCCTCCTGAGTAGCTGAGACTACAGGCGCCCAAACCAGGCCCAGCTAATTTTTTTGTATTTTTAGTAGAGACGGGGTTTCACCGTGTTAGCCAGGATGGTCTCGATCTCCTGACCTCGTGATCTGCCCGCCTCGGCCTCCTACAGTGCTGGGATGACAGGCGTGAGCCACCTCGCCCGGCCTGCCTTTTCTTTCTAGTGGCACAAGCCCCGTGGAGTGTGGTGTGTCTGATCTCCAATGCTTTTGAACAGTGTAGACAGTATTCCTGTCTGAATTTAATTTTTTACTACACGTATGGTCTCGATCGACCACAAGAAGATCAATAAGCCCTTCTCCTTATTCTACTTCCCTTTCTAGCAATGGAGAACTTTGATTGGATTTTTCCTGCCTACAGACAGGAATGAGTCTGCTGTTTTCTTTTTTAAACCCGAGGGGACTGAGCCTGAGGGCCTCGAGCGCGGCCACCCTCCCCCAACCCCCAACTGGTGATTGTGGTGGTGGTGGTTTTGTGTTCCAGCTTCTGTTTTGTTGTTGTTGTTGCTGCTGGTGGTGCTGTCGTCATTGTTTTGGTATCTTACAGACTCAGGGGGTGTACGTGCTTGTTTGTTAGATCGGCCTACTGCTGCCTCTGGTTGTAGAAGTGGATCTCCAGTGTATCCGATACCCACGTGGCGAACATTGTCTCTGACAGGTGATTTATTCATCCCTTGTCCCCCTCTTACCCTCCTCCTCCCTTTTGGAGTGTCTTCTATTTCCATCTTGATGACCGTGTGCGTACCCACTGTTTACCTCCCACTTGTAAGCAGAAGGCAGTTCACTGGGTACATACTTGCTTCCAGCTCTATCCATATTGTGGGAAAAGACGTGAAATCGCTCTTTTTTGTGCCTGAACCATTAGAGAATTTTAACTTTCTTGGTGGTTGTTTTCCTTTTTTCTTTTCTTTTCTTTTTTTTTTTCTTTTCTTTCTTTTCTTTTCTTTCTTCCTCCTCCTCCTTCTTTTTTTCATTGTTTTCAGCTGGGCTCTCCTACTTGTGTTGCTCAGTTGCTCGGGCTTGTCTCAAACTCCTGGCCTTGACACTTCTCCCGTCACATCCACGGTCTAGTTGTTGAAATGAGCATCTCTTGTAAAATTGAAAAGATGAAAAAAATAAAGAGAAAGACAAAAAGCACGGGGTGAACGTTTCTCTTGCCGCCTCCCAGGGTGTACCTTGGACCCCATAGGAGGGAGGGAGCTTGGCTGGGTGGGTTTTCGGTGCTAAATCCTCCTGAGGGCCTCCTTCCCTCTCCCCCTTGTCCCCGCTTCTCCCCCAGCCAAGGCTCCCACTGCCGCGATGGGATTTTCCATGGGAGAGGTATGGGAGAGGACTGACGCGGCTTCCAGATCTATATCCTGCCAGACGTCTCTGGCTCAGCGTCCCCCACCAGCTGCCTGCCACCTTCCAGGGAGCTCTGAGGCCGATGCCCCGCCCCGCTTCACATCCCGCCACCCTCCTCCAGCTGGCCTTTGCCCGGCGACCCCAAGGGAACGACGTTAATGCTGCTTTCGAATCCTCCAGCGAAGACTTCCACCAGATGCCCCGGGTGGGCCGGATGGGATGGACTGGATCACCCCGGACCATGCTGTTCTTGGGGGTGGGTTGACGTACAGGGTGGACTGGCAGCCCCAGCATTGTAAAGGGTGTGCAGGTATGGAAATGTCACATAGGATGCCCTCCTTTCCCTCAGCCTGCCTTCAGCTTCCTCAGGCATGAAGACAACTTCCCATCAGAACCTCTTTTCTTCCCTTTCTCCACCACACAGATGAGACCCATGAGAGGGAGAAACAGCTCAATAGATACTGCTGACCTTCATTTGTGGAATCCTCAGTCATCTACAGACAGAGAGGTGAGTAGACAGGGACCCAAATCAAACACCATTTCCGGGTCCTCATGGTGGGATTCGTCTCTCTCTCTCTCTCTCTCACACACACACACACACACACACACACACACACACAATTTCCACATCTAGTTCACAAACCACACTAATTTACACTTTTCACAGTACGCAGTCTGAGTAAAACCCACCCCACCCTCCACCCAGCTGCTGACGAAACCCCTTCTTTACAATTTATTAAAAAGATTATCTGGGCCGGGCACAGTGGCTCACGGCTGTCATTCCAGCACTTTGGGAGGCCAAGGTGGGTGGATCACTTGAGGCCAGGAGTTCAAGACCTGACTGGCCAACATGGTGAAACCCCATCTCTATGAAAAATAGAACAATTAGCCAGGAACTGGTGGCATAGGTTTGTAATCACAACTACTCAGAAGACAGAGGCGGGCGAGTTGCTTGAACCAGGGAGGCCGAGGTTGCAGTGAGCTGAGATCGTGCCATGGCAATTATTGAGATAAAGTGAGACTCTGTCTCAATAATAATCATAATATTGTTATAAGATGTGTTGTGCGTGCTGATACCCACCTGTAGTCGCAGCTACTCAGGAGGCTGAGACAAGGAGAAGATCACTTGAGGCCCCACAGGTCGAGGTTTCAGTCAGCTGTATCCTGGGTAGTCACTAGTCAAAGAGATATGCCCCTCCCCGTTTTCTTTTCTTTTCTTTTCTTCTTTTCTCTCTTCTTTTTTCTTCTCTCTTCTTCCTTCCTTTCTTTCTTCTTTCTTTCTCTCACTCTCTTTCTTTCTTTCTCTCTTTCTTTCTTTCTCTTCTTTCTTTCTTTCCCTTTCTTTCTTTCTTTCTTTATTTTTTTCTTTCTTTCCTGCCTGACTGACTTCCTGCCTTTCTTATTTTCTCCCTTCCTCTCTTCCTCCCTTCCTTCTTTCCTCCCGCCTCGGCCTCCCAAAGTGCTGGGATTACTGGCGTGAGGCACCACGCCTGCTTGGCCTAAAGAGAGACCCTTTGAAAGTAAGACACATACAGCGCCTTCTAGTGATCTGATTGATTGATTGACTGATTTAGAGACAGCGTCTCGCTCTGTCACCCTGGCAGTGGTGCCATCATAACTCACTCACTGCAGTGTGGAAGCTCCTGGACTCAAGTGATCCTTCCACCTCAGCCTCCAGAGTAGAGTACCTGGGACCACAGGCATGTGCCACTGTGCCCAGATCATTTTTATGTATTTATTTATTTATTTTCCCGAGACAGAGTTTCGTTCTTGTTGCCCAGACTGGAGTGCAATGGCGCGATCTTGGCCCACTGCAGCCTCTGCCTCCTGGGTTCAAGCGATTCTCCTGCGTCAGCCTCCCGAGTAGCTGGGTTTGCAGGCATGCGCCACCACATCTGGCTGATTTTGTATTGTTAGTAGAGACGGGGCTTCTCCATGTTGGTCAGGCTGGTCTCGAACTCCCGACCTCAGGTGATCTGCTCTCCTCGGCCTCCCAAAGTGCCAGGATGGCAGACGTGAGCCACTGCTCCTGGCCTTCATTTTTAAATGTTTTTCCACAGACAGGGTCTCATCATTTTGTTGCAACCCTCCTGACCCGGCGTCTCAAAGTGCTGGCGTGAAGGGCGTGAGCCACTGCGCCTGGACTCCGGGGAATGATTCACGAACATGACCGCTGTACTAATTCTTTCTTTCTTCTTTCTTTCTTTCTTTCTTTCTTTCTTTCATTGATGAATTTTTTTATTATTGATTGATTGATTGATTGATTGATTTTGAGACGGAGTCTCGCTCTGGTCGAGGCAAGGCGAGGGGAGGCGAGGCGAGGTGAGGCGAGGCGAGGTGAGGCTAGGCGAGGTGCATCACTTTGGAAGCCGCAGCGCGGCCTTCTAAAGCCCCATTCAAATGCACAAAGCCCTATTTCCTTCCTGGAGTTGGAGCTGATGCTTTCCATCGCCTTGGGCTTCTCTCCATTCAGAAGTTTTACAGGCGCAACCCCACCCAGAGGCTGGCTGCGGCTGAGGATTAGGGGGTGTGGGTGGGGCTGGAAACTCGGTCCCCTATTGTTGAAAGCTCAGCCAAGACATCCCCCGACCCCCATCGCTTGCTCACCCTTTGAGATCCCCTGACTCCATCGCCTTGGAGGCTGACCTCTTACTTTAATTTGTCTTTCTTCCTTTCCTGCGTTTGAGGAGGGGATGCAGGAATGAGGGTGTGTGCGGGGAGGTGGTGTGGGGTGGGGACGGAGGGGAGCGTCCTAAGGGTCGATTTAGTGTCATGCCTCTTTCACCGCCACCGCCGAAGATGAAAGCAACAATCAGCTAAATACCACGTGTTCTCATCCATAAGTGGGAACTTATAGATGAGAGTTCTGCGTGGGCAGAACGAGGAGGACCAGAGAAGCGGGAGCCTACTTGAGGGAGGAGGGGTGGAAGGAAAGACAGCTTCAGGAAAAAACAAAACACAACAAAACATGAAAACTGTCGAGTACTGCGCTGAGTATCCGGCTGATGAAATCATCTGCACACTGAAACCCCCCCGTCAGAAGTTTACCTATGTAACAATCTTGCACATGTATGTTTGAACAAGAAATGAAAGTTAGGGGAGAAAGAGAGAGAGAGGGAAAGAGAGAGAGAGAGGGAAAGAGAGAGAGGGAAAGAGAGAGAGAGAGAGAGAAGTGAAAGGAAACAGCACCTCCTGGACCTGAGTCAGGGGGTTTCCGGCCTTTTGGGGGAACATTCAGCTACAATGCAGTATTTGGGCCTGTTCTTTTTTTTTTTTTTCTTCTTTTCTTTTTTTTGGACTGAGTCTCTCTCGCTCTGTCACCCAGGCTGCGGTGAAGTGGCGCTCTCTCGGCTCACTGAAACCTCTGCTTCCCGGGTTCCAGTGATTCTTCTTCGGTAGCTGGGATTACAGGCGTGCACAACGACAGCCGGCTAATATTTCTATTTTTAGTAGAGACGGGGTTGCTCCATGTTGGCCACGTTGGTATTGAACTCCTGACCTCAAGTGATCCACCTTCCTGGGCCTCCCAAAGTGCTGGGATGACAGGCCTGAGCCGCCGGGATTTCAGCCTTTAAAAGCACGAGCCATGACACTTTTCGCTGCGGCCCTTACACTCAGAATGATGTGTCGTCTCTGCCATAGGTTAACTCCTTGAGTCCCCTATGCCATTGTACTCTAGCCTGGGCAGCAAGAGCGAAACTCCGTCCCCCCACCTTCCCGTGCAAATAGATAAATAAATAATAAATAAATAAACAAACAAACAAATAAATAAATAAAATCTCTACACATGACCTATAAGTGTGCATTCCCATGAGTGATTTCTAAGAAATGGCACTGTACACTGAACGCAGTGGCCCACGTTTGTCATTCCAGCACTTTGGGAGGCCGAGGTGGGTGGTTCACGAAGTCAGGAGTTCAAGACCAGCCTAGCCAACATGGTGAAACCCCGTCTCTACTGAAAATACGAAACTGAGTCGGGTGCAGTGGGGCAGGCACCTGTAATCCCAGCTACTCGGGAGGTTGAGGCGGGAGAATCGCTTGAACCTCGCAGGCGGAGGTTTCAGTGACCCAGGATGGCGCCACTGCACTACAGCCTGGGCGACAGAGTGAGACTTGGTCTCCAAATAAATAAATAAATAAATGAAAGAAAGAAAAGAAAAGAAAAAAGAAAAGAAAACCAGAAAAGAAAGAAAATGAAAGAAAAGTCGCTGTATCGCTACTGGGCTAGGACCTTCCCTCTTTCTGTCTGTTTCTCTTTGTCTCTCTCTGTCCATCTCTGTCTTTCTCTATCTGTCTCTTTCTCTGTCTGTCTGTCTGTCTGTCTCTTTCTTTCTCTCTGTCTCTGTCTCTCTCTCTCTGTCTGTCTCACAGTGTCTGTCTTCTCTCTTTCTCTGCCTGTCTGTCTCTCTCTCTCCCTCCCTCTCTGTTTCTGTCTCTCTCTGTGTCTCTCTCTTTCTGTCTGTTTCTCTCTGTCTCTCTCTGTCTGTCTCTGTTTTTCTCTGTCTCTGTCTGTCTCTGTTTTTCTCTGTCTCTCTGCCTGTCTCTGTATTTCTTTTTCTGAGTCTCTCTGTCTGTCTCTCTCACTCTCTCTCTCTGTCTGTCTCTCTGTGCCTATCTTCTGTCTTATTCTCTTTCTCTACCCATCTGTCTCTCTCTCTGTCTGTCCCTCTCCCTCCCTTTCTGTCTCTCTCTCTCTCTCATTCTCTCTCTGTCTCTCTCTCTTTCTGTTTGTTTCTCTCTGTCTCTCTCTCCATCTCTGTCTGTCTCTCTCTTTCTCTCTGTCTCTGTCCGTCTCTCTCTGCCTGTCTCTCTCACTGTGTCTGTCTTCTGTCTTATTCTCTTCCTCTGCCTGTCTCTCTCTCCCTCCCTGCCTTTCTGTTTCTCTCTCTCTCTGTCTCTCTCTCTGTCTGTTTCTCTCTGTCTGTCTCTGTCTGTCTCCTCCTCTGTCTGTCTGTCTCTCTCTTTCTTTTTTTTTTTCAAGATGGAGTCTCACTGTGTCACCCAGGCTGGAGTGCAGTGGTGCCATCTTGGCTCACTGCAAGCTTCACCACCGAGGTTCACGCCATTCTCCTGCCTCAGCCTCCTGAGTAGCTGGGACTATAGGCGCCCGCCACCAAACCCGGCTAATTTTTTGTATTTTTAGTACAGACGGGATTTCACCGTGTTAACCAGGATGGTCTTGATCTCCTGACCTCGTGATCCGCCCGCCTTGGCCTCCCAAAGTGCTGGGATGGCAGGAGTGAGCCACTGTGCCTGGACTGTCTCTCTCTTTCTTTCTCTCTCTTTCTCTCTCTCTCTTTCTCTCTCTCTCTGTGCCTATCTTCTGTCTTACTCTCTTTCTCTGCCTCTCTGTCTGTCTCTCTCTCTCTGTCTCTCTCTCTCCCTGTCTGTTTCTCTCCCTCTGTCTCTCTCTCTCTCTTGCTGTTTCTCTCTGTCTGTCTCTGTCTGTCTCTTTCTCTGTCTGTCTCTCTCTTTCTCTCTGTCTCTGTCTCTGTCTCTATCTGCCTGTTTCTCTCACTGTGTCTGTCTTCTGTCTTACTCTCCTTCTCTGCCTGTCTGTTTGTCTCTCTCTCCCCCTCTCTTTGTTTCTCTCTCCCTCTCTATCTCTCACTCTCTCCATCTCTCTCTCTGTCTGTTTCTCTCTGTCTGTCTCCGTCTTTCTCTGTCTCTCTGTCTGTCTGTCTCTCTCTCTCTGTCTCTCTCCCTCCCTGTCTGTCTGTTTCTCTCTCTTTCTCTGTCTCTGTCTCTCTCTTTCTGTTTCTCTCTGTCCATCTCTGTCTCTCTTTCTTTCTCTGTCTCTCTCTTTCTCTGCCTGTCTCTCTCACTGTGTCTGTCTTCTGTCTTACTCTCTTTCTCTGCCTGTCTGTCTGTCTCTCTCTCTCCCTCCCTTTCTCTCTCTCTCCATCTCTCTCTCTTTCTGTTTCTCTCTGTCTCTCTCTGTCTGTCTCTGTGTGTCTGTCTGTTTCTCTCTCTGTCTCTCTCTCTCTTTCTGTTTGTTTCTCCCTATCTGTCTCTCTCTCTCTCTGTCTCTCTCCCTGCCTGTCTGTCTGTTTCTCTCTGTCTCTCTCTGTCCATCTCTGTCTTTCTATGTCTGTCTCTTTCTCTGTCAGTCTGTCAGAGCCCCTTTGCCGGGGAGGGCCCTGCCCCTTCCACGAAAGTGAGAAGCGCCTGCTTAGAGAGGCCGAGAGGAATCTAGACAGACGGGCCTTGCTAGGCTTCGCCACTCGGTGTATGATTTCGGGAGGTCAAGGCCGGGTCCCCACTTGGATGGAAGGGGCATTTTCAAACGTTTCTCTCTGTCACGTGTGGCGTCCCTACTTCTCGTATTTCCCTGATAAGCTCCTCGACTTAAAAATACATGGTTAAGGCCGGGCGCGGTGGCTCACGTCTGTCATCCCAGCAGTTTGGGAGGCCGAGACGGGTGGATCACCTGAGGTTGGGAGTTTGAGACCAGCCTTGCCAACACTGCGAAAACGCATCTCTACTAAAAATACTAAATTGAGTCGGGCGCGGTGGGGCAGGCGCCTGTAATGCCAGCTACTCGGGAGGCTGAGGCAGGAGAATCGCTTGAACCTGGGTGGCGGAGCATGCAGGGAGCCGAGATCGCGCCACTGCACTACAGCCTGGGCTGTAGATTGAGTGAGACTCTGTCTCTAAATAAATAAATAAATAAATAAATAAATGCATTCTTTTCCCTGCTGACTGACACTTGCAGGCATCGGTTGTCTTTGGGCATCACCTAGCAGCCACTGTTATTGAAAGTCGAGGTGACACGGGGAGAGGTCTGGCCGACTTCACCGAACCTGGGGCAACCGGTTTCTGTCTCTCCCTTCTGGAGACCCCTCCCTCTCTCCCTCGTTGCCTAGGGAACCTCCGCCCTGCAGGGGGCCCTATTGTTCTTTGATCAGCGCTTTAGTTTTCTTTCTGTTTTGGTTTCTTTCATGCGCATAGACTCTTCTACTTGGGTTTTAGGAGGGGTCAGTTTAATTTTCAAGTCCCGCCCCGGCTCCCCCCACTACCCACGTCCCTTTACCTTCATTTAGTGAGTCAGTTAGGTGGGTTCCACCCAAACTCCCCACCCCCCGCCTCCCAACACCCTGCTTGGAAACCTTCCGGAGCCACCCCGGTGTGCCTCCGTCTTCTCTCCCCTTCCCCCACCCCTTGCCGGCGATCTCATTCTTGCCAGGCTGACATTTGCATCGGTGGGCTTCAGGCCTCACTCAGTGGCCACCGTTTTTGAAGATGGGGGTGGCCCGGTCCCACTTCCCCAGAGGCAGCTTGGGCCGATGGCATAGCCCTTGACCCGCCTGGGTAAGCGGGCGTGTCTTCAGTTGTGGGTTTTTTCCCATGCTTCCCTCTTCAGGCCTCCCTCCCTAGGAAAGCTTCACCCTGGCTGGGTCTCTATCACCTTTTATCATGATGTTTTAGTTTCTCCGCCCTCGGGCCAGCATAGTTTCACAGTGGGAATGACGTCACAGCTCTAGTCTGGGCCTTATTAGTATTTGCCCAAAATAGAAATGCTTTCTGAAAACTAATACTTTGCTCACTTAAGATTTCCAGGGACAGTGCCTTGGCCTGTGTTTGTTGGCTTGTTTTGTTTTGTTCGTGTTTTTCGTTTTTCTTATGTATTTCTTTTTAGATGAAATAGAAATCCCCAGTTTTCAGGAAGACGTATATTTTCCCCAAGACATGTTAGCTGCGGTTTTCACCTGTTGTTAACTAACGATTTTGTGAATCTCTGAACGTATAGTGAGAGCCGGTTGATGTTTACTAGACTTCAGAACATCTTATGTTCTAGAAATCCGTAAGCGATTGCTGCTGCTGCTCTTGCTGCTGCTGCTGCTCTTGCTGCTGTTGTTGTTGTTGTTTTCAAAGCACACCCCGGCCACCGTTTATGGGATCAAAAGCCTTATAAAATATGTGTAATTATTTCCTGAGCATGCCCTTCCTCCTCCTCTCTCTGTCTCTCTCTCTTTATCCGTTTTCTCTCTTTCTCTGTCTCTCTCTCTTTGCCTGTCTATTTCTCTCTCTCTGTCTCTCTGCCTGCCTCTCTCACTGTGTCTGTCTTCTCTCTTACTCCCTTTCTCTGTCTGTCTGTCTCTCTCTCTCTCCCTGTCTGTTTCTCTCTGTCTCTGTCTCTTTCTCTGTCTCTTTTTCTGTTTCTCTCTGTCCATCTCTGTCTTTCTCTGTCTGTCTCTCTGTCTGTCTCTCTCTTTCTTTCTCTGTCTCTCTGTCTCTGTGTGTCTCTCTCTCTGCCTGTCTCTCTCACTGTGTCTGTCTTCTGTCTTACTCTTTCTCTGCCGGTCTGTCTCTCTCTCTCTTTCTCTCTCTCTCTGTCTCTCTCTATTTGTTTCTCTCTGTCTCTCTCTGTCCGTCTCTGTCTTTCTCTGTCTGTCTCTTTGTCTGTCTGTCTCCCTCTTTCTCTGTCTCGCTGTCTCTGTCTCTCTCTCTGCCTGTCTGTCTGCCTGTAGGTCTCTCTCTCTTTCCCTGTCTGTCTGTTTTTTTCTCTCTCTCTCTTTGCCTGTCTGTTTCTCTGTCTCTGTCTCTCTGTCTGTCACTCTCCGCCTGTCTCTCTCTGTGTCTGTCTTCTGTCTTACTGTCTTTCTCTGCCTGTCTGTCTGTCTCTCTCTCTCCTTGCCTGTTTCTCTCTCTCTCTGTCTCTGTTTCTCTCTGTCTCCCTCTGTCTGTCTCTGTCTTTCTCTCTCTGTCTCTTTCTCTCTGTCTGTCTCTCTCTTTCTTTCTCTTTGTCTGTCCATCTGTCTCTGTCTCTGTGTGTGTGTGTGTTTCTGCCTTCTGTCTTACTCTCTTTCTCTGACTGTCTGCCTGCCTGTCTGTCTGTCTCTCTCTCTTTCTGTCTCTGTCTCTTTCTGTTTCTCTCTGTCTCTGTCCATCTCTGTCTTTCTCTGTCTGTGTCTTTATCTGTCTGTCTCTCTCTTTCTGTCTTTCTCTCTTTGTGTATCTTTGTGTCTCTCTGTCTGTCTCTCTCTGTCTCTGTCTTTCTCTCTCTCTCTCTCTCTCTCTCTCTCTCTCTCGCCCGCTCTCTGGCTCTCGCTATCTCCCGCCCTCTCTTTCTTTGCAAAATATGTTCAAGTACATCTAATCTAGTCCATTACCACGACCTGAATTCTTAACTTTAGACATCCCAGATTTGATCTCCCTACAGAGTGCTGTACAGAACTGGCGAGTTGATTTCTGGACTTGGATACCTCATAGATACTACATATTAATAAAGATCCAACCATAAAATCTGGCGTTGCGTCTCCCTCGACTGTCTCAAAAAATCATACCTCTGTTCACCTAGGATACTGGGAGGGTTTTCTTAATGTGCATCTGCTCGTGTTCTACATGAACTGTGACCGAGCCCTGTCCGTTTTGTCTCAAATATGTATCTGCAAACACGTCTCTCCATTTCCACAACTACCCATGGCCCCTTGTGGAACCACTGGCTCTTTGAAAAAAAAATCCCAGAAGTGGCTTTGACTTTTTGTCTAGGAGGCCTAAACCTGCTGAGAACTTTCCTGCCCAGGATTCTGTGTGAACAAAAGTGCCTCTGCTGGGAGCTGGGATCCTCGGGACCATGCTTGCTATCGTTGGATGAGTCTCTGGAAGGACGCATGGGACTCTGCAAAGCTGACCTGTCCCACCGAGGTCAAATGGATACCTCTGCATTGGCCCGAGGCCTCCAACTTACATCACCGTCACCAACCGTCACCGTCAGCATCCTTGTGAGCCTGCCCAAGGCCCCGACTCCAGGGAGACTCTTGGGAGCCCGGCCTTCGTAGGCTAAAGTAGAAAGGGATTGCGACTTCCACCCACAAGGTCCCCACTGAACTGCGAAGATGTGGAGCATAGGTCAGAGAGGGGACCAGGAGGTGAGATGTCCTGACAGGCGATGAGTTAACTAGGCTCTGGCCACCCCACTCACGTCCCACGTCCCTGGAACCCTCGGAACACTGCCGCTTTATCCCCTCCTCTGTCTAGAGCCGCTCCCACCCCACCCCGCAACCCACGCATACACACTGGAGGTTACAAAACCACAGGGCGTGAATAGAGCCTGACGGAGCAAGAGCTCTTTTCATGAGGCGGGGTGGGTGGGGTGGGGTGAGGGTTGGGGTGTCTGTAGAGAGCCCGATTCTCCCTCGTGGGTGGCTACAGGACACAAATGAATATCGCTTCTTGGGCGGAGGGGCTTCCTTAGGCCGTCACGTTTGCGGGACTATCTCTCAAACCCTTCCTTGAGGCCACAAAATAGATTCCACCCCACCCCTCGACGTTTGCCTGGGTGCTGGATGTATCCTGTCAAGAGACCTGAGCCTGACACGTTGAGTGAAATACCTTTATTGGCTTTGTGTGTTTGTTTGTTTCTGAGATGGAGTCTTGCTCTGTCCCCCACGGCTGGAGTACAGTGGCGTGATCTCAACTCACTGCAACCTCTGCCTCCTGGGTTCGAGTGATTCTCCTGCCTCAGTGCCACCAAGCCAGGCTCATTTTTAAATTTTTAGTACACACGGGGTTTGACCCTGTTTCATTGGTTTTCACTGGAGATTCCAGATTCGAGTCACACCTCATTGTGTGCCACATAATGACTTCTTTTTTTTTCTTTCTTATTTTTTTTAAAGCTCAATATATCTGCTTTATTTGAGTGGCTTTATATATGGTTATAATTGTGTTATAGATGAAGAAAAGGTATTAAACACGGTGCTAATGATAGTGAAAGTGAAAACAAAAGAAAGGCTATCTATTTTGTAGTTAGAATAAAGTTGCTCAGTATTTAGAGTTACCTAAATATGTCAGCATTTAAACTCCTCCTAGTAAAAGTTGGCCAATCTGAATAATCCTCCTTTAAACACAATTTTTGATATGGTTAAGGTTTTTAAGAATGCGACTCCTGCAGAATAGCTGAACAGACAATACACTTTTAAAAAAGAACAACACACGGTTCAACCAGACTTGGGAAAAAAGCAAAAACAACACAAGTCTTATGAAGAACTGAGTTCTTAAAGTATTATGGAGAACATAGCTATCGGAAGAGAAGGCAGTCTTGGTAAGTTGATTGTTACATTTGTCAGCAAAACTAGCACTATTTTTTTGGCAATCTTTCAGACACTGCAACTACTACCGCAAAATGAGATATAATCCATTAAACAATATAGTCACAAATCAAAAAATGTTTTAGTAATGTAATGCTTCAGATTTAGAAGCAAATCAAGTGTTAAAACTCGACTGCTATAAAAATTACCCCCAAAGATAATCGTATTTGACAAAAAAGCTTCCACAGAGTTATGACTTCAGAATTATACTTTCTCTTGATATTTATTTATTAATTTATTTATTTTATTTTATTTTTTTCTTGAGACGGCGTTTTGCTCTGTCACACAGGCTGGAGTGCAATGGCTTAATCTTGGCTCACTGCAACCTCCACTTCCCGGGTTCAAGCGATCCTCCTGCCTCAGCCTCCTGAGTAGGTGGGACTACATGTGCCCGCCACCATGCCCAGCTAATTTTTATACTTTTAATAGAGACGGGGTTTCACCATGTTGGACAGGATGGTCTCGATCTCTTGACCTCGTGATCCGCCCGACTTGACCTCCCAAAGTGCTAGGATGACAGGCATGAGCCACCTTGCCTGGCCTTCTCTTGATATTTAAACTTTTAAGTCAGTCCAGAAAAATACAATAAATGTCAACAGTAATTATGGTGTTGAGGCAGATGTAGGACCAAACTTTTTCGTATGTTATTCAGTTGATAACAATATGACCTGGATAGTAATTTCCTATGTATCTACTTATACAGAAGTAAAAAAAGGAAAACAGAGATACTGCTAAATAAAAGGGTATACTAAGTTCTTAATAGTAACTCAATAAACTGGAACACTTTCAAAAAGCAACAACTAGTGAATTTTTTCAGTGTTTTTTTCTATTATCCAATAAGTGAATTATGCTATTCCTTTCCAATTTCCCAAGCACTTTTTGTCCCAATCACCATTTCTCTGTTCGAAGAAAAAGTAACAAATCAAGTAACAAAACTAAACAAGCATACAAACAAATAAAACACAATTACAGTATCTGCAAAAGTTTGGTAGAAGACTGAAACTGTTCAGTATAAGGATCTGGTATTCTATTATCATTAGTTAACTGAAGATTTTGTTAAAGACATACATTTCCTAAGAAAACATGTTAGTTTGAAGTTATTGACCAGTATGTACCATCCCTAAATATTAGTAACCAAATTCATGACAATAAAAGAGCTATCTAACAAGAAAAATTAGTGACTACCAGCACCATCTACAAGACTTTGTCTTTACACTTCATTACCACTTACTGTGCATTACAATGTCTAGGATTGACTCTGATAGCATTTCAAAAACAAGCTAATGCTTTGTCCAATTCTTCAGTTAAGACAAACTCTCGCCCTAATAGAGTATAGGCATAAGCATAATTTGGATCCACCTGGATAGCTCTCTGGAAGAATTTAATTGCAATATCGTGTTCCCATTGCAGACTGAAACAGTTCCCTGCAGCACACCAGGGCTCTGGAGGATTTTTATCCATGTCTGTTAAGTCTTTTGACAGAACTGAAAGAGCACCATCTTTTTGAAGATGCCAAAATGTTGTAGAGTAGATTTCCATGCCTTCGACTCTATAATTCTCCATCCTTCAAACCTCTGAGAATATTCTTTCAGCTTGCATGTACTCTGGAAGTTCAAAATAGACCCTTCCAATTTGGCACAGTACCCAACCAGTATTGTAGTGGTGAGAAGGTAGATGGCTCAAAATATTTATAGCTTCTTTGCAGTGGTATGAACACAAAGCTAAATAACCTTTTCCCCTTTCACGAAGAAGGCTCATCAAGCCTTCTGCTGCTGCTTTTTATGATTAAAAGCCTGAATCTGAGGTGTGATTGTGGATATTTTCTCTTGTGAAATGATGAAAGAGTCCAATTTTGTAATTTCCAGGCTATCATTTATGTTAGGTTGAGTTATTCCTCCTTTATTAGTTTTACTTTTTGTTTTCCTGTTTGGGATTTTAGGTGGAAACTTCATTTTTAATTTCTTCCTATTCTCCCTGGTTGTGGAACTGTCACTGGTAAAGAGTCGTGAACTTCTTCAATGCAGCACATTTGGGGGAGATGCCATAGTGGGGCTCAATACCTGAGGTGATGTACTTATTTGTGGACGAGAACTTTGTGTTTGTGCAAGAATTGGAGTTACCTCTCGGCTATTTCCACTCTGTGAGAAGACAGACTTTGCTCCAGTTTGGCCGATTCTGGCAACAGACTTTTTTGAAGGGGATCCGGTGGATGGCACATCAATTTCAGAAGGTGTATTAGTGTAGTTTTGTAAATAGGATCCATCTCCAGGACTTGGGGTTTCTAATGGCAAAATCCCAAAACTTGGGGTTAATGGACTAAGAGCTGCTAGTTCTCCTAATAAACTTTGACCAGTTTTTGGTTTATTTTGAACCTGTTTAGAAAATATGGAAGTTCCTGTTCCCAGTGGGAGAGTGTCAGGTGAAATTACAGCTGAATCAATAGAAGACACTTGGGAATCTGTATTCAAGGAGTACTTTGAATTGGAAGATTCTAAATTCAATCTGTTTAATTCAGTTGTGTCCTGTGGTGTTTCCGTGAGAACAGTCTCAGGCTGTCTGTGACATAAACTATGATTAGGTATTTGTGCTGTGCAAGAGTTGGGCAGACAGTTGCTAAAGTTCTGTGAAGTTGTGAATTTAAATGTTTGGGGGCAGGATCTGGCTTTTCACCTATTTCACATAATGATTCGAAGGGATACCAGAGGAAAGGATTTCAACTAAGGCTCTTTTGGTAACATTCTGATCCTTTGGCAAGCCAATCTGTCTTGCAATATACATGTCCCAACAATGGAAGGGGAAAGCAAGCTCAATCACCAAACTCAGTAACAATATCATCATGGCTTTTCTGCTTATGAAACACTCCACCAGATAAGATTTGTTCCCCTTCTGCAAGCTTGCTAAGATCAACACAACATTTTGCAAGCAGGTATTTGCATTGCGGTGTAGGACAACTGTGTCCTTCCAAGAGTCTATATGCTTTATAGGCCTTTTCTGGGCGGTAAGAACAGGTCGCCTGTAAAAACAAGGCTTCTTCTGAGTGTACTTCTGCATAAAGGCATTCTGCGAGGAAAACCCCATCTCGGTAAGCATAGTGGTTTAGTGCTTGCCATATAGCAGCCTGGACGGGTTCCTGCAGCACCGTCATCCTCGAGGCTCAGACCCACTTTCTGCAGTGCCTCAGGCACCCCCCCACCCCGCCCACCCCCCTCCCCCCCGTAGCAGCTCTGGCCTTGCCAGCCTTAGCTCATTTAAACTCACCAGTTTTGTAGGTTGCCTGTCCACTCTGATGGTAGTTTCTTTTGTTGTGCAGAAGCTCTTTAGTTTAATTAGATCCCATTTGTCAAATTTGGCTTTCGTTGCCATTGCTTTTGGTGTTTTAGACATGAAGTCCTTGCCCATGCCTATGTCCTGAATGGTAATGCCTAGGTTTTCTTCTAGTATTTTCATAGTTTTAGGTCTAACATTTAGGTCTTTAATCCATCTTGAATTGATTTTTGTATAAGGTGTAAGGAAGGGATCCAGTTTCAGCTTTCTACATATGGCTAGCCAGTTTTCCCAGCACCATTTATTAAATAGGGAATCCTTTCCCCATTGCTTGTTTTTCTCAGGTTTGTCAAAGATCAGATAGTTGTAGATATGCGGCATTATTTCTGAGGGCTCTGTTCTGTTCCATTGATCTATATCTCTGCTTTGGTACCAGTACCATGCTGTTTTGGTTACTGTAGCCTTGTAGTATAGTTTGAAGTCAGGTAGTGTGATGCCTCCAGCTTTGTTCTTTTGGCTTAGGATTGACTTGGCGATGCAGGATCTTTTTTGGTTCCATATGAACTTTAAAGTAGTTTTTTCCAATTCTGTGAAGAAAGTCATTGGTAGCTTGATGGGGATGGCAAAGGAATCTAGAACTAGAAATACGATTTGACCCAGCCATCCCATTACTGGGTATATACCCAAAGGACTATAAATCATGCTGCTATAAAGACTTATGCACACGTATGTTTATTGCGGCATTATTCACAATAGCAAAGACTTGGAACCAACCCAAATGTCCAACAATGATAGACTCAATTAAGAAATTGTGGCACATATACACTATGGAATACTATGCAGCCATAAAAAATGATGAGTTCATGTACTTTGTAGGGACATGGATGAAACTGGAAATCATCATTCTCAGTAAACTATCGCAAGAATAAAAAACCAAACATTGCATATTCTCACTCATAGGTGGGAATTGAACAATGAGAACACATGGACACAGGAAGGGGCACATCACACTCTGGGGACTGTTGTGGGGTGGGGGAAGGTAGGAGGGATAGCATTAGGAGATATACCTAATGCTAGATGATGAGTTAGTGGGTGCAGTACACCAGCATGGCACATGTATACATATGTAACTAACCTGCACATTGTGCACAGGTACCCTAAAACTTAAAGTATAATAATAATAAAAATAAAAATAATAAATAAACTCACCAGTTACCAGGGGATGGGGGAGGCTGAGCCAGAATGACTTCTTTAGCCTGCCGACTCTGGAAAGCCCAACCCCTTGTGATCCATGGCAAAGTGAGAGTCACCTCATGTTTGGAAAACAGATCCACTCTTAAGTTCAGTGGAGGGATGTGGCATATAGGACGAAGGACTCTCTTCATTCTGATTCGGTCTGCACAGTGGGTCCTAAGGCTGGAGCTCTCTCTGTGTGGACTGCTGACTCCCTCTACCTTGGGTTCCATCGGCCCCACCCTGGGACACTTGCCTTGGCAGATTCTGGCCCTTCTGGCCCTTAAGTCGCTGTCAGAAACCTCATCTCGCGCTCGGATGCCCCGAATGACTGTGGCTCGCGCATCTCTGGAAACATTGGAAATCTCTCCTCTACGCACGGCCACCTAAAACCACAGGAGCTCGGGACACATGGCTGCCATCCACCTCACTGCTTTCGGGAGAGAATGCTGAGAGTCTCTTACAAACTCTCTCTTGACTTGAGTTCTTCATGGGTGTGTGGTTAAGACATAGTGAGACCAGATGTATTAACTCAGGTCGGGTGCTGGTGTCTCACGCCTGTAACCCCAACACTTTGGGAGGCCGAGGCCATAGGATCCCTTGAGGAATCGCCTAACCCTGGGGAGGTTGAGGCTGCAGTGAGTGAGCCATAATGGTGTCACTGCACTCCAGTCTGGGAGAAAGACAGAGTGAGGCCCTGTCACAGGCAGGCAGGCAGGCAGGCAGACAGACAACAGTTGTATTATATTCTTCTCTGGGTAGGAAGTAAAAATAACAGAATAAAGTGCTTAATTTTTTTTTTTTTTTTTTGAGACGGAGTTTCACTGTTGTTGCCCATGCTGGAGTGCAATGGCACCATCTCGGCTCACCGCAACCTCCACCTCCCGTGTTCAAGCGATTCTCCTGCCTCAGCCTCCTGAGTAGCTGGGATTACAGGCATGTGTCACCACACCCGGCTGATTTTGTATTGTTAGTAGAGACGGCATTTCTCCATGTGGGTCAGGCGGGTCTCAAACTGGCCACCTCAGGTGATCTGCCCACCTCGGCCTCCCAAAGTGCTGGGATGACAGGCGTGAACATTTGAGCCCTGCCAGCTACGTTTTTTATAAATTTTCAATTTTAATCTATTATTATTATTTCTTTTTTGAGATGGAGTCTCACTCTGTTGCCCAGACTGGAGTGCAGTGGCATGATGTCGGCTCACTGCAAGCTCTGCCTCCCGGGTTCATGCCATTCTCCTGTCTCAGCCTCCCAAGTAGCTGGGACTACTGGCATCTGCCACAGCGCCTGGCTAATTTTTGGTATTTTGAGTAGAGACAGGGTTTCACTGTGGTAGCCAGGATGGTCTCGATCTCCTGACCGTCGTGATCCGCCTGCCTCGGCCTCTCAAAGTGCTGGGATTACAGGCGTAAGCCACAGCTCCCGGCCTACTTATCTATTTATTAACTTTGAGTCCAGTTTATGAAACCAGTTAGTTTTCGTATTTTTTTAGAGAAGAGGTTTCACCATGTTGCCAAGGCTTGGATCGAGGGATCCACCTTCCCTTGCCTCCCAAAGTGCAGGGATGACAGGCGTGAGCCTACCAAGCCCGGCTCCTCCCCTTCATCCCCCAGCTTATCCCTCAGGTGCCCGAGGTCGAGCGGTGGTGTGTGGTTCCCACCCTCAGCGCCCCCTCCTCCGGTCACCGCCGCGATGTCCACGAGTGGGTCCTGAGGGAGCTCGTTGGTGTAGGGGTTGAGGCGGTTGAGTGAGACGCGCTCCTCCCACGCGGGGAAGAGTGCTGCCTGATCTGGCGAGCGCAGGGCCCGTGCTCCTCTCTGGCGGGTGCGCGCGGGCCGTGTGAGCTATTGCGGTGGGCTGGGTCAGATGACGCGTGCGCCGTCCGGCAGCCGAGGGGCTACCGTTCTGCCTCCGACAGGTTGTGTGTGGGTTTACTTGGAGGTGCTTTGCCTGGGAGAAAGGAGGCTGGTCGACGGGGGGGCCCTTGTGGGATTGCGCACACGTGCAGCGGCCAGGCCCCCTGCCCAGACCGCGAAGGCTCAAGGTTGCCGCACGCAGATTTTTCCTGGTACAGCAGGCCCCCTCCCTTCCCCAGGCGTCCCTGTGCGCCTCTGCGGGCCCGACGAGGGGCGACTGGCATGTGGGAACTGTGACTCACCCTCAGTGAGAAAGCCTTCTCTAGCGATCTGAGAGGTGTGCCTTTGGGGTACCGGATCCCCCGGCCTGCCGCCTCTCTCTGCGTTATGGTAGCGCTGCCGTGGCGACTGGCTTGCAGAGGACCCTCCTCCACTGCCCCCTTGATGGGGTGAGGGGGGGAGAGCAAGGGTTCCGCCAGCCTCCACGGTGGGGACCCAGGGAAGCTCGTCGCCTACTGTGTGGCCCGCGCCTCCCCCTTCCGAGTCGGGGGAGGATCCCGCCGGGCCGGGCCGGGCCGGCGTCCTAGCATTTGGGAGGCTGCGTGAGCGGTGGCTGTGCCTGGCGTTCAGTCCAGCTTGTGACCCATTCCGCTGTGAGCCGGCTCTCTGCCCGCTCCCCTGCAGAGCAGCGACCGGTGCCGACGACCGCGTTTGCGTGGCACGAGGTTGGGCCACCTGGCCCTGGGAAGCATCCCAAGTGGGGGGCATGTCGGTCTCCTGGAGCTTGACCGGGTTGGAGGATGGATGAGAAACGAGCAACGTGGCCCTGGCGTTGGGTTTGTGGCTGAGGTCGCCTCGGGGTCCTGATGGCGGGACCCGGGGCTCATGAGGCGGGTCTTGGTGGGTGCCGAGGGCCATCCGGCATCCTAGGCGGGTCACTGCGGGACCTCCCTCGTGTCTGTGGTGGTGGGATCCCGTGGCCGTGTTTTCCTGGTGGCCCGGCCATGCCTGAGGTTTCTCCCCGAGCCGCCCCTCTGCGGGCTTCCAGGTGCCCTTGCCCTCATGGTCCCTGTGCCCCCCTCCCCGCCCGCGTATCCTCTCTCCCCGAGCAGCTCACCGGCTTAGGCTGTGGTGGCCCCGTCTGGGACCAAACCCGGCTCCGCCTTGTGTGGCGCTGCCGCCGGCCACTGGTTGGCCCATTGTCCATGTCCCCGGGCGTGCGCCTTCGGGACCAGGTCGGCGGCACCCCGAGTGGGCCTGGTGGGCACCCGGAAGGTTTGGGGTTGGCCAGCAGTGCGTGCAGGGAAGAGGGTTCAGGGGGCTGGCCTCGACAGTGGCGGTGGTGGGGGAGCCGCAGGCCCGCGGAAGGCCAGTCGGCCACTCCAGGTGCCGCTCGGGGCCGCCTTCATGCTCGGAGGCCACTGGCTGTGAGACCCCAGGCACCGCGGTCCGCCTCTCGTTCGCTGCCCAAACGTCGGGGCCGCCCAGCGCCCTCCGCGCATGAGTGGCCGCTGGTCCCTCACGGCTGCCGCACACGGGTCGGGCGGTTGGCCTCCTCGCACATGGGCACGAAGGGTCGGGAGTGGTGAGCCCGTCGGGGGGTGTTGTGTCCTGTGGGTGGATGGGATGTCCGGTTCGCCGCCCCACCACCCCCCTCCCACCACCCGGAGCTCCTCCCTCCCTACCCCACGCCCCATCGCCCGCCCTGCCACGCCCAATCTCGCAACTGGGACGCCGGGCTCATCCTCGCGAGTCCCAGAGGCCGCTTTCTACCTACCTGGTTGATTCTATCAGAACCATATGCTTGTCTCAAAGATTAAGCCATACATGTCTAAGTATGCAGGGCCGGTACAGTAAAACTGTGAATGGCTCATTAAATCAGTTATGGTTCTTTTGGTCGCTGGCTCCTCTTCTACTTGGAAAACTGTGGTAATTCTAGAGCTATTACATGCCGAAGGGCACTGACCCCCTTCACGGGGAAGATGCATGCATTTATCAGATCAAAACCAACCCAGTCAGCCCCTCTCCGGCCCCGGCCGGGGGGTCGGGTGCCGCCAGCTTTGGTGCCTCTGGATAACCTCAGGCCAATCGCATGCCCCCCGTGGCAGCGATGACCCATTCGAACGTCTGCCCTATCAACTTTCTATGGTAGTCGCTGTGCCTACCATGGTGACCACGGGTGACAGGGAATTAGGGTTCAATTCTGGAGAAGGAGACTTAGAAACGGCTACCACATTCAAGGAAGGCAGCAGACACTCAAATTACCCACTCCTGACACGGGAGGTAGTGACAAAAAATAACAATACAGGACTCTTTCAAGGCCCTGTAATTGGAATGAGTCCACTTTAAATCTTTTAATGAGGATCCATTGGAGGGAAAGTCTGGTGCCAGCAGCCATGGTAATTCCAGCTCCAATAGCGTATATTAAAGTTGTTGCAGTTAAAAAGCTCGTAGTTGAATCTTGGGAACGGGTGGGCTAGCGAGCCACAGCCTGTCCCTGCTTCTTGCCTCTCGGTGCCCCCTGGATGCTCTTAGCTGAGTGTCCTGCGGCCCGAAGCGTTTACTTTGAAAAAATTAGAGTGTTCAAAGCAGGCCCAAGCCGCCTGGATACTGCAGCTTGGAATAATGGAATAGGACCACGGTTCTATTTTGTTGGTTTTCGGAACTGAGGCCATTATTAAGAGGGACGGCCGGGGGCATTCATATTGCACCGCTAGAGGTGAAATTCTTGGACTGGCACAGTTTGGACCAGAGCGAAAGCATTTGCCAAGAATGTTTTCATTAATCAAGAACGAAAGTCAGAGGTTCGAAGACGATCAGATACCGTTGTAGTTCCGACCATAAACGATGCCGACTGGCGATGTGGCAGCGTTATTCCCATGACCCGCTGGGCAGCTTCCAAGAAACCAAAGTCTTTGGGTTTTTGGGTTCCGAGGGGAGTATGGTTGCAAAGCTGAAACTTAAAGGAATTGACAGAAGGGCACCACCAGGAGTGGAGCCTGCATCTTAATTTGACTCAACATGGGAAAACTCACCTGGCCTGGACACGGACAGGATTGACAGATTGATAGCTCTTTCTCAATTCCACAGGTGGTGGTGCATGGCCTTAGTTGCTGGAGTGATTTGTCTGGTTAATTCCAATAATGAACGAGACTCTGGCATGCCAACTAGTTATGCGACCCCCGAGTGGTTGGCATCCCCCAACTTCTTAGAGGGACAAGTTTAGCCACCTGAGATTGAGCAATAACAGGTCTGTGATGCCCTTAAATGTCCAGGGCTGCACGTGCGCTGCACTGACTGGCTCAGCGTGTGCCTACCCTATGTGGCAGATGTGGGTAACCTGTTGAACCTCATTGGCAATGGTGATCATTGATTGCAATTTTTCCCCATGAATGAGGAATTCCCAGTAAGTGCTGGTCATAAGCTTGCATGAAGTCCCTGTCCTTTGTACACACTGCAGGTTGCTACTCCTGATTGGATGGTTTAGTGAGGCCCTCGGATCAGCCCCTCCGGGTCAGCCCACTGCCCTGTCGGAACGCTGAGAAGACAGTCGAACTTGACTATCTAGAGGAAGTAAAAGTCGTAACAAAGTTTCGGTAGGTGAACCTGCGGAGGGATCATTAACAGAGAAGAGCAAAGCCATGGAGATGCCGCCATGTCCTTCCTCCTTGGCTGACTGTGTTCCCCTGTGGCGCATGCATGGGTGGGGTCATGCCCTTTGTTCGTTGCATGGCCCCATCTGCCCCGAGAGCCAGAGAACTCAGAAGGGAGAGAGGGGGTAGAGAGAGACATGCGTGTGGGGATGAAACTGTGTGCTTGTCGTGGGGTGGGCTGGATGGCTCGCCGGCCTGGTGAGCAGTGGGGAGCGGTCCCCTGTTGTGGCCCCCATGTGTGCGTCGGTGGGCGCGGGGGTGGTTCTCGGCGTCATGGTGGGGTGGGGGTCTCGGTGCCCTCCCCACTGGGGCCGTCATCATGCCCTGTCGCACTGTCTTGGCCCCATCCCGCCCGCTCCCGTTGGGGCTGGCCAGGTTCCCATCGCTGCCGCTGCCACCATCGTCGCCTCTGTCAAACCATGCCACTGGCCCGGCCCAGCCTGCTTGCTCTCCCCAGCCTTCCCGCTAGGGGGTCTCGAGGGTAGGGGGCTGGACGCCGGTCCCACCCCCCTCATCCGCCCCCACCATCCAGGTACCTAGCGCATTCTGGTGCGGAGGTTTAAGGACCCCTTGGGGGGTCGCCAGTCTGCCTGTGGGTCAGGTGCAGTGGGCCCTCAGTGGAGTCCGTTCAGGAGGGGCCCGCCCCTCCCTCGCCTCCCCTGCTGACTCCATCCCCCCGGCCAGCCGGGGGCCACGCCACACTTGCGTGTCGCCGCTGATGCCGGTGGGGGCTTTACCCAGCGGCCATCGTGCTGTCACACATGCCTTGCATGTGGCCTGTACCCCGCACTGTGGGGGCGGGAACCCCTGGGCTCCCATGGGGTGGTGTCAGCCTTTGTCCCCCCCGTGGTTGGCACCACCTCCCTGTGTTGTGAAACCTTCCAACCCCTCTCTGGAGTCTGGTCCCGTTGCTGTCTGACTGGCCGGCCTGAGGTAACCCCTCTGGGGGACGTGCTGTGCCAGGAGGGCCTCCCGTTGTTGGGAGTGCCCTCGCCAAATCAACCTTGTATGACTTTTAGTGGTGGATCACTCAGCTCCTGCATCAATGAAGAATGCAGCTAGCTGGGAGAATTAATGTGAACTGCAGGACACATTGATCATCGACACTTGAATGCACTTGTGGCCTGGGTTCCTCCCAGGGCTATGCCTGTCTGAGCGTCGCTTGCCGATCAAAATTCCCCAGGGTTGCCTCTGGGCTCCTTGGGGTGCCCAGCTGTTCTGTGGCAGGGCCCACAGGGCCCTCTGTCCCCCCAAGTGCAGACCGGTGACATCCGCCCTCCTCTCCCACTGTGCCCGTCCCTTCCCCCTCCCCCCGCAGGCCCTGTGTGGTCACGCGTTGGGTGGCGTGGGGAAGGGGGGCTCCCGGCTGTGAGGAAGAGAGAGAGGGCAGCACCGCCACTTGTGAAAACAGAAAGGGAAGATAGCCGGCTGTGGCTGAGTTCCTGTGGCCACCTTCATGGTCTGGGATCCTCCCTTGGGGGCTCCCTCATGCCTCATGCAGCTCATGGTGCAGGGTTCATTGGCCCTGGCGGGGTGGAAGGTCCCATGCCGTCGTTGTCTCATGTCGTCGGTGGTGGAGGCTTGCTGGGGGTTGGGAGGAAGGCAAATAGGAAGGGTCCACCGGGGAGAGGGTGGGGGAGCACGTCCCAGTCGCTGCGGTTCACCGTCCACCCCTGGAGGCGGCCCAGTGACTGGCTGACCGCAGCTCCAGTGCCCCTCGTCCCCAACACTCCTCTGAGGCACCATCCTCCTCGCCCGCCCACCCCCTGCCCACCCCCCGCCCGCCCGGCACGTCATGGTGTGTCCGGGCCCGGAAGCCTGCCACACGGCCCGTCTGGCAGTGCTCGTGGCCATGGTCCCATGGTTCGCTTGCCCCTGCTGGAGATCCGCTGGACGCTGTGGTGTCGTCCACTATCGCGTGCCCACCTCCGGCTCTGGGCCACGCGGTGCCTGGGGCCCCATCCGGAGCTTCCATGTTGGGGCAGGGCAGCACCGCCGCATCCTCGGACCCATGCCCCACCTCCATTTAGTACGTAGGCAATCTCATGTAACTTAACAAAGCTAGCATGTCCCTAGACTTGGTGCAGCCACTGTAGGGGTGGCCTCCCAGTAGCATCATTAACATCAATTGTAATTGGTAGGCAATCACTTAGTTTCACATTTCATTACCCGAGTTACACAAAAGTGTAAAAAAATACAGTTTTAATAAAAGGGAGTAAAAGATAATATGAGTAATATTCACAATATCTAGTTGGAAGAGGTAGTGTTTTCTCAGAAATGATGCATTCCTGGAACAAGGTCATTTTGTGTTTGGTTTGTTAAATATCTATTTCCATTTTGACAAACCACTGGAAAAGCCCAGCTTCACAAGGATTCTCCATGAGAACGATCACATAAAAGAACATCCATAACATAAAATCAAAACAAGGGTGGTCCAGTCGTCACATTAAAGGCTCATTACCAAGTTTTCTTAGAAGAGATAAAGAACACAAAGTTACTTTTATGTGATGGAAAACAGAGAGAAAGAGTAAATGCAACAATAAATGTTAGGCAACAACAGTGAAAACAAAGCTGTGGAAAAAAATGAATGGAATTGTTTTGTTTGGTATTGATTTCCTATCCTGATATCAGAAAGTATGGGAAAGAACAAAGCACATTTTCTGAGACAAATAGAACATAAAACAGATGAATGTTAAAGACTATTTTACAGTGCTAACAAAACTATCTGTGGCTTGTTTTTTCCCTTTAAAGATACGATTTTGTACAATTACATTTATATAAATTATTGAAATAAAATTGTAAAGATGGAGAACAGACTATGGGGTTGCCAAGGGGAAGGGGTGGAGGAAAATGTGTTAGAGTGTCAGCAAAGATCCCAAGATGGAGCCTGATGGTGAGGCTACAGTTCTGCATCTTGACTGTCGAAGTGGTAGTTACAGAGATCTACACCACATAAAAATGAACAGAACACCCGCACACGCATACACACGTACAAAAATGAATGCATGCAAAACAGTTGCGATCTGAGTAAGCTTTCTGAATTGTACCTATGTCAGTTTCCAGGTTTTGATAATGCTCTATGGCTATGCGAGATGTCACCACTGGAATTAGTGAAGAGTACCTAAGACATCCCTGTACCTTTTGCAACTTCCTGTGAATCTATAATTATTTCAAAAGAAACTTGAAAGTCATAGCAGACTTTCACTTCAAAGAGGAAAAAAACTGAAGATTAATGAAATTGTTGAAGAACATCAAATATTCAATAGTCTGTATGAGAGCTGTATCCTGTCCACTCGCAGCACAGCTGTCATTTAGCCTTTTTCTGACGTGCCCTGGAGGACTTGAGCTCCTCTTGGATTGCCAAGGCCAATAGTGTTTCTTTGTTACTAACTTTGTACTGGACCCCCAAAAATGAAAAGTGATTGAATAATCATTTATAATAACTACTAGTAATTTTACTTATAAAGAGACAATAGTGGTAACCAATTTAAATATTTAGGGTAAAGAATAGGATCTTTGTAAGACAATACTGGCAAAATTTTAAAAGAAAAAATAAGGAATCAGAAACGTAAGTAGTTCAGTATTGTGAAAAAATTCTGGATCTGAGAAGCAAAAGAACAGAGATTGTATTGCGTTTCTGCTCCAAACCTGATGAATCACCTTAGCTGTGTTTTGTTTCTGCACCAAAGCTGCAGAATCACCTTAGGCAATGCATGCCATTTCCCTGAATCTGTTTTCTTTTCTACAAAATAAAGTGAACTAGATCATCTCCAAGGTCCCCCAAATATTCACATTTTGGGCTCTACATGAACTTCTGTTGAATTCCTCATTTCAGTGTGGATAACACATGTGTGCTGCACCACAAGCAGTGTTTCTAAATGCTCATGTTGGTCCTAAAAACTAATTATGAGCAGTTTGGAAATTTTGTTGTTGTAGAATCTGCAAAGGGATATCTGTGAGCACTTTGAGGCCATGGTGAAAAAGGAAATACCTTCACATAAAAACTATAAAGAATGTTTCTGAGAAACTGCTTTGTGATGTCTGCATTCATCTCACAGAGTTAAACGTTTCATTCCCTTGATCAGTCTGGAAACTCTGTTCTTGTACAATCTGCAAAGTGATATTTGTGAGTGCTTTGAGGTCTATGGTGAAAAAGGAAATATCTTCACATAAAAACTAGACAGACGCTTTCTGAGAAACTACTTTGTGACGTGTGGATTCATCTCACAGAGTTAAACCATTCTTTTGATTGAAAAGCTTGGAAATGGTGTTTTTGTAGAATCTGCAGAGGGATATTTGTGAGCACTTTGAGGCCTATGGTGAAAAAGGAAATATCTTCACATAAAAACTAGAAAGAAGATTTATGAGAAACTGCTTTGTGATGTGGGTGTTCATGTCACAGAGGTAAATGTTTCTTTTCATTGAGCAGATTGGAAACTCTGTTCTTGTAGGATCTGCAAAGGGATATTTGTGAGCAGTTTGAGGCCTGTGGTGAAAAAGGAAATATCATCGCATAAAAACTTGACAGAAGTTTCTGAGAAAATTCCTGGTTGTGTGTGCATTCATCTCACAGAGTTGAACCATTCTTTTGATTGAGCAGTTTGGAAACAGTATTTTTGTAAAATTGGCAAAGGGATATTTGTGAGCACTTTGAGGCCAATGATGAAAAAGGAAATATCTTCACATAAAAACTAGACAGACGATTTCTGAGAAACTTTTTTTTTTGATGTGTAGTTCATCTCACAGAGTAGAACCATTCTTCTGATTGAGCAGTTTGGTAACAGTCTTCTTGTAGAATCTGCAAAGGGATATTTGTGAGCGCTTTGAAGCCTATGTTGAAAAAGGAAATGTCTTCACATAAAAACTAGAAAGAAGGTTTCTGAGAAACTGATTTGTGATGTGTGACTTCATCTCACAGAGTTGAACCTTTCTATTGATTGAGCATTTTGGAAACAGTATTTTGTAGAATCTGCAAATGGATATTTGTGAACACTTTCAGGCTTATGGTGAAAAAGGAAATATCTTCACATGAAAACTAGACAGAAGCTTTTGAGAGACATCTGTGTGATGTGTGCACTCATCTCACAGAGTTGAACCATTCCTTTGATTGAGCAATTTGGAAACAGTCTTTTTGTAGAATATGCAAAGGGATATTTGTGAACACTTTGAGACCTATGGTGAAAAAGGAAATATCTTCACATAAAAACTAGACAGAAGGTTTCTGAGAAACTGCTTTGTAATGTGTGCATTCATCTCACAGAGGTAAACGTTTCTTTTCATTGAGCAGATGGGAAACTCTTTTCTTGTGCAATCTGCAAAGGGATATTTGTGAGGAGTTTGAGGCCTATGGTGAAAAAGGAAGTATCATGGCATAAAAACTTGACAGAAGTTTCTGAGAAAGTTCATAGCTATGTGTGCATTCATCTCACAGAGTTGAACCATTCTTTTGATTGAGCAGTTTGGAAACAGTATTTTTGTAGAATTGGCAAAGGTATATTTGTCCTCTCTCTGAGGCCTATGGTGAAAAAGGAAATATCTTCAATAAAAAGTATAAAGAATGTTTCTGAGAAGCTGTTTTGCAAGGTGTGCATTTATCTCACAGAGATAAAAGTTTCTATTTTTTGACGAGTCTGGAAACTCTGTTCTTGTAAAATCTGCAAAGGGATATTTGTGAGTGGCTTGAGGCCTATGGTGAAAAAGGAAATATCTTCACATAAAAACTAGACAGAAGATTTCAGAGAAACTTCTTTGTGATATGCGCATTCATCTCACAGAGTTGAACCATTCTTTTGATTGAGAAGTTTGGAAAGAGTCTTTTTAGAGAATCTGCAAAGGGATATTTTGAGCGCTTTGATAGGTATGGTGAAAAGGGAAATATTTTCATATAAAAAACTGGACAGAAGCTTTCTGAGAAACTTCTTTGTGATGTGCGCATTCATCTCACAGAGTTGAACCTTTCTTTTGATTGAGCACTTTGGAAAGAGTCCTTTTCTAGAATCTGCAGAGGGATATTTATGAGTCCTTTATGGCCTAAGGTGAAATAGGAAATATCTTCACATAAAAACTAGACAGAAGCATTCTGAGAAACTTTTTTGTGAAGTGTGCTTTCATCTCACAGAGTTGAAGCTCTCTTTTCATTGAGGAGTTTGGAAACAGTCTTTTTTGTAGAATATGCAAATAGATATTTGGAGCGCTTTGAGGCCTATGGTGAAAAAGGAAATATCTTCACATAAAAACTAGCCAGAAGCATTCTTAGAAACTTCTTTGTGATGTATACATTCATCTCACAGAGTTGAATCTTTCTTCTGATTGAGCAGTTTCAAAACAGTCCTTTTGTAGAATCTGCAAAGGGATGTTTGTGAGCCCTTTGAGGCCTATGGTGAAATAGGAAATATCTTCACATAAAAACTAGTCAGAGGATTTCTGAGAAACTTCTTTTTGATGTGTGCTTTCATCTCACAGAGTTGAACCTTTCTTTTTATTGAGCAGTTTTGAAACACATTTTTTGTAGAATCTGCAAATGGATATTTGGAGCACTTTGAGGACTATGGTGAAAAAGGAAATATTTTCACAGAAACCTAGAAAGCAACATTCTATGAAACTTCTTTGTGATATGTGCTTTCGTTTCACAGAGTTGAACCTTTCTATTCATTGAGCAGTTTGGAAAACATCTTTTTGTAGAATCTGCAAATGGACATTTGGAGAGGTTTGAGACCTTGTTGAGAAAGGAAATATCCTCACATAAAAACTAGACAGAAGCATTCTGAGAAACTTCTTGGTGACATGTGCATTTATCATACAGAGTTGAACCTTTCTTTTGATTGAACAGTTTGGAAACAGTCTTTTTGTAGTATCTCCTAAGGGATGTTTGCATGTGGTTTGAGGCCTATGTTGAAAAAGGAAATATCTTCACATAAAAACTAGACAGAAGCTTTCTGAGAAACTTCTTTGTGATGTGTGAATTCATCTCACAGTGTTGAACCTTTCGTTGGATTGAGCAGTTTGGAAACAATTATTTTGTAGAATCTGCAAAGGTATATTTCTGAGCCCATTGAGGCCTATGGTGAATTATGAAATATCTTCACATAAAAACTAGACAGAAGGTTTCTAAGAAACTTCTTTGTGCTGCGTGCTTCCATCTCACAGAGTTGAACCTTTCTTTTGATTGAGCAGTTTGGAAACACTCTTTTTGTAGAATCTGCAAATGGATATTTGGAGGACTTTGAGGCCCATGGTAAAAAAGGAAATATCTTCA
Source organism: Homo sapiens (assembly GCF_000001405.40). Lineage (NCBI taxonomy): Eukaryota > Metazoa > Chordata > Mammalia > Primates > Hominidae > Homo > Homo sapiens. The sequence continues at coordinate 11,243,714 of NC_000022.11, read as the reverse complement.
CATAGAAACTAAATGGAAGCTTTCTGATCAACTTTTTTTGTGATGCATGCACTCATCTCACAGAGTTGAACCATTCTTTTGATTGAGCAGTTGGAAACAGTCTTTTTGTAGAATCCGCAAATGGGTATTTGGAGCGGTTTGAGGCCTATGGTGAAAAAGGAAAGTTCTTCACATAAAAACGAGACAGAAGCATTCTGAGAAACTTCTTTGTGATGAGAGATTTCATTTCACAGAGTTTAAACTTTCTTTTCATTGAGCAGTTTGGAAACAGTCTTTTTGTAGAATCTGCAAAGGGATATTTGTGAGCCATTTGAGGCATGTGGTGAAAAAGGAAATACCTTCACATAAAAACTAGACAGAAGCATTTTGAGAAACCTCTTTGTGATGTTTGAATTCATCTGACAGAGTTGAACCTTTCTTTTGATTGAGCAGTTTGGAGACAGTCTTTTTGTACAATCTGCAAAGGGATATTTCTGAGCCGTTTGAGGCCTATGATGAAAAAGAAATATCTTCCAATAAAAACTAGACAGAAGCATTCTTAGAAACTACTTTGTGATGTGTCCATTCATCTCACAGAGTTGAAATTTTCTTTTGATTAAGCAGTTTGGTAACAGTATTTTTGTAGCATCTGCAAATGTATATTTGTGAGCCCTTTATGGCCTATGGTGAAATAGGAAATATCTTCACATAAAAACTAGACAGTAGCTTTTTGAGAAACTTCTCTGTGATGTGTGCTTTCATCTCACAGATTTGAAAATGTTTTTCAATTGTGCAGATTGGAAACAGTCTTTTTGTAGAAACTGCAAATGGATATTTGGATCGCTTTGAGGCCTATGGTGAAAAATGAAATATCTTCACATAAAAATTAGATGGAAGCATTCTGAAAAACTTCTTTCTGACATTTGCATTCATCTCACACTGTTGAACATTTCTTTGATTGAAGATTTGGAAACACTTTTTTTTTGTAAAATCTACAAAGGGATAATTGTGAACCCTTTGAGGCCTATTGTGAAGTAGGAAATATCTTCATATAAAAACTACACAGAAACATTCTGAGAAACTTTTTTTGTGATGGGTGCATTCATCTCACACAGTTGAAGCTTTCTTTTGCTAGAGCAGTTTGGAAGCAGTCCTTTGTAGAATCCCCAAAGGGATATTTCTGAGCTCATTGAGGCCTTTGGTGATATAGAAAATATCTTCACATAAAAGCTAGACAGAAGCTTTCTGAGAAACCTCTTTTAATGAGTGCTTTCATCTCAAAGAACTGAGGGTTTCTTTTGACTGAGCAGTTTGGAAACACTCTTTTTGCAGAATCTGCAAGTGGATAATTGGAGTGCTTTGAGGCCTATGGTGAAAAAGGAAATATCTTCACATAAAAACTAAACAAAAGATTTCTGAGAAACTACTTTGTAATGCGTGCATTCATCTCACAGCGTTGAAACTTTCTTTTGATTGAGCTGTTTGTAAACAGTCTTTTTGTAGAATCTGTAAATGGATATTTGGAGTGCTTTGAGGCCTATGGTGAAAAAGGAAATATCTTCACAAAAAAACTAGAAAGAAACATTCTGAGAAACTTCTTTGTGATGTGTGCTTTCATCTCACAAAGTTGAACCTTTCTTTTCATTGAGCAGTTTGGAAACAGACTTTTTGTAGAATCTGGAAATGCACATTCAGAGCACTTTGAGGCCTATGGTGAAAAAGGAAATATCTTCAGATAAACACTAAACAGAAACTTTCTGAGAAACTTCTTTGTGATACGTTCATTCATATTACAGGGCTGAACCTTTCTTTTGATTTAGCAGTTTGTAAACAGTCTTTTGGTAGAATCTGCAAATGGATACTTGGAGTGGTTTGAGGCCTATGGTGAAAAGGAAAAGATCCTCACAAAAAAAACTAGAAAGATACATTCTGAGAAACTTCTTTGTGATGTGTGTTTTCACCTCACAGAGTTGAAACTTTCTTTTCATTGAGCAATTTGGAAACAGTCTTTTTGTAGAATCTGCAAATGGATATTTGGAGCGCTTTGAGGCCTATGGTGAAAAAGGAAATATCTCACATAAACACTAGACAGAAGCATTTTGAGAAACTTCTTTGTGTTGTGTCCATTCATCTCACAGAGTTGAACCTTTCTTTGTATTGAGAAGTTTGGAAACAATCTTTTTGTAGAATCTGCAAAAAATATTTGTGAGCCCTTTATGGCCCATGGTGAAACAGGAATTATCCTCACAGAAAGACTAGACAGAAACTTTCTGAGAAACTTCTTTGTGATGTGTGCTTTCAACTCACAGAGTTGAACCTCTCTTTTGATTGAGCAGTTTGGAAACAGTCTTTTTGTGGAATCTGCAAATGGATGTTTGGAGCGTTGAGGCCTATGGTGAAAAAGGAAATACCTTCACATAGAAACTAGGCAGAAGCATTCTGAGAAACATCTCTGTGATGTGTGCATTCATCTCATAGAGGTGAACTTTTCTTTGACTGAGCAGTTTGGAAACAGACCTTTTGTAGGATCTGCAAAGGGATATTTCTGAGCCCATTGAAGCCTAGGGTGAAAAAGTAATATCTTCACATAAAAACTAGACAGAAGCATTCTGGTAAACTTTTTTGTGATGTGTCCATTCATCTCACAGAGTTGAAACTTTCTTTGGATTGAGCAGTTTGGAAACAGTCTTTTTGTAGAATCTGCAAAAAATATTTGTGAGCCCTATATGGCCCATGGTGAAATAGGAAATATCTTCACAAAAAAAAACTAGACAGAAGCTTTCTGAGACACTTCTTTGTGATGTGTGCTTTCATGTCACAGTGTTGAACCTTTCTTTTGATTGAGCAGTTTGGAAACACTCTTCTTGTAGAATCTGCAAATGGGTATTTGGACTGCTTTGAGGCCTATGGTGAAAAAGAAAACATATTCACATAAAAAATACTGGACAGATGCATTCTGAGAAACTTCTGTGTGATGTGTGCATTCATCTCACAGCGTTGAATCTGTCTTTGGATTCAGCAGTTTTCTAAAAATTCCTTTTGTAGCATCTGCAAAGGGATATTTCTTAGCCCATTGAGGCCTATGGTGAAAAAGGAAATATCTTCAAATAAAAACAAAACAGAAGCCTTCTGAGAAACTTCTTTGTGATGTGTGCATTCATCTCAGAGTGTTGGACCTTTCTTTTGATTGAGCAGTTTGGAAACAGTCTTTTTGTAAAATCTGCAAAGGGATATTTCTGAGCCGTTTGAGGCCTATGGTGAAAAAGAAATATCTTCACATAAAAACTAGACAGAAGCATTCTGAGAAACTTCCTTTTGATGTGTGCATTCATCTCACAGAGTTGAACATTTCTTTTGTTTGAGCAGTTTGGAAACAGTCTTTTTTTAGAATATGCAAACGGATATTGTTGAGCCCTTTACAGCCTATGATGAAATAGGAAATACCTTTACATAAAAACTAAAAAGAATCATTCTGAGAAACTTCTGTGTGATGTGTGCATTAATCTCACAGAGTTGAGCCATTGTTTTCATGGAGCAGTTTGGAAACAGTCTTCTTGTGGTATCTGCAGAGGGATATTTGTGAGCAGTTTAAGGCCTATGGTGAAAAAGGAAATATCTTCACATAAAAACTAGACAGAAGCATTCTGAGAAACTTCTTTTTTATGTGTGCATTCATCTCACAGAGATGAATCTTCCTTTTCATTGAGCAGTTTGGAAACAGTCCTTTTGTACAATCTGCAAAGGAATATTTCTGAGCGGTTTGGGGCCTATGGTGAAAAAGTAATATCTTCACATAAAAACTATACAGAAGCAATCTGAGAAACTTCTGTTTTGTGGGTGCTTTCACATCACAGAGTTGAAACTTTCTTTTCATTGAGCAGTTCGGAAACAGTCTTTTTGTAGAATCTGCAAAGGGATATTTGTGGGTTCATTGAGGCCTGTGGGGAAATAGGAAATAGCCTCACAGAAAAAATAGATAGAAGCTTTCTGAGAAACTTTTTTGTGATGTGTGCTTTCATCGCACAGAGTTGAACTTTCCTTTGATTGAGCAGGTTATAAGCAGTCTTTTTGTAGAATCTGCAAATGGATATTTGCAGCATTTTAGGCCTATGATGAACAGGAAATATCTTCATATAAAAACTAGATAGAAGCATTCTGAGAAGCTGATTTGTGATGTGTGCATTCATGTCACAGAGTTGAAACTTTCCTTTGATTGAGCTGTTTGGAAAGAGTCCTTTTGTAGAATCTGCAAAGGGATATTTGTGAGCCCATTGAGGCCTATGGTGAAATAGGAAATATCTTCACATAAAAACTTGACAGAAGCTTTCTGAAAAACTTCTTCATGCTGTGTGCTTTCAGCTCACAGAGTTCAACCTCTCTTTTGATTGAGCACTTTGGAAACACTCTTTTTGTAGAGCCTACAAATGGATACTTGGAGTGCTTTGAGGCCTATGGTGAAAAAGGAAATATCTGCAAATAAACACTAGACAGAAACTGTCTGAGAAACTACTTTGTGATGCGTGCTTTCATCTCACAGATTTGGACCTTCGTTTTCATTGAGCAGTTTGGCAACAAGTCATTTTGTAGAATCTGCAAAGGGATATTTGTGAGCGGCTTGAGGCCTATGGTGAAAAGGTAAATATCTTCACATAAAACCTAGACAGAAACATTTTGAGAAAACTCATTGTGATGTTTGCATTCATCTCATTGAGTTGAACCTTTCTGTTTATTGAGCAGTGTGGAAACATATTTTTTGTGCAATCTGCAAATGAATATTTGTTTGTGGTTTGAGACCTATGGTGAAAAAGTAATATCTTCACATAAAAACTGGACAGAAGCATTCTGAGAAACTAATTTTTTATGTGTGCATTCATCTCACAGAGTTGAACCTTTCTGTTTATGAAGTAGTTTGGAAACAGTTTTTTGTAGAATCTGAAAAGGGATATTTGTGATCCCTTTGAGGCCTAAGGTGAAATGGGAAATATCTTCACATAAAAACTAGACAGAATCTTTCTGAGAAACTTTTTGTGATGTGGGCTTTCATCTCACAGATTTGAACCTTTATTTTTATTGAGCAGTTTGGAAAGAGTCTTTTTGTAGTATCTGCAGAGGGCTATTAGTGAGTGGACCAAGGCCTATAGTGAAAAAGGAAATGGCTTCTCAAAAAAACTAGACAGAAGCATTCTGAGAACGTTCTTTGTGATGTGTGCATTCATCTCACAGAGTTAAGCCTTTCTTTTGATTGAGCTGTTTGGAAACAGTTTTTAGCTCATTGAGGCCTACTTTGAAATGTGAAATATCTTCACATAAAAACTAGATAGAAGGTTTCTAAGAAACTTCTTTGTGATGTGTGCTTTCATCTCACAGAGTGGAACCTTTCTTTTGATTGAGTGGATTGGAAACACTCTTTTTGTAGAATCTGCAAGTGGATATTTGGAGTGCTTTGAGGCCCATGGTGAAAAAGGAAATATCTTCACATAAAAAGTAAACAGAAGTTTTTTGAGAAACTTCTTTGTTATGTGTGCATTCATCTCACAGAGTTGAACAGTTCTTTTGATTGAGCAATTTGGAAACAGTCTTTTTGTAGAATCTGCAGGTGGATATTTGGAGCGCTTTGAGGCCTATGGTGAAAAAAGGAAATTTCTTCACATAAAACTAGACAAAAGCGTTCTGAGAAACTTCTTTGTGATGTGTGCTTTCATCTCAGAGTTTAACCTTTCTTTCATTGAGCAGTTTGGAAACGGTCTTTTTGGAGAATCTGAAAAGGAATATTTATGAGTGGCTTGAGGCCTGTGGTGAAAAAGGCAATACCTTCACATAAAAACCAGACAGAAGATTTTTGAGAAACCTCTTTGTGATGTTTGTATTCATCTCCCAGAGTTGAATCTTCCTTTTCATTGAGCTGTTTGGAAACCGTCTTTTTGCACAATCTGTAAAGGGATATTTCTGAGTGATTTGAGGCCTATGGTGAAAAAGAAATATCTTCACATAAAATTAGACAGAAACATTCCAGGAAACTTCTCTGTGATGTGTGCATTCATCCCACAGAGTTGAACCTTTCATTGCATTCAGTAGTTTGGAAACAGTCTTTTCATAGAATCTGCAAAGGGATATTTCTGAGCCCTTTGAGGACTATGGTGAAATAGGAAATATCTTCACATAAAAACTAGACAGAATCTTTTTGAGAAACTTCTTTGTGATGCGTGCTTTCATCTCACAGAATTGAACCTTTTTTTTGATTGAGCAGTTTGGAAACAGTCCTTTTGTAGAATCTGCAAAGGGATATTTCTGAGCCCTTTGAGTCCTATAGTGAAATAGGAAATATCTTCACATAATAACTAGACACAAGCATTCTGAGAAACTTCTTTGTGATGCGTGCTTTCATATCACAGATTTGAACCTTTCTTTTCATTGAGCAGTTTGGGAACAAGTCATTGTATAGAATCTGCAAAGGTATATTTTTGAGCAGTTTGAAGCCTATGGTGAAAAACTAAATATCTTCACATAAAAACCAGGCAGAAGTTTTTGAGATAACTCTTTGTGATGTTTGCATTCATCTCAAAGAGTTGAACCTTTCTGTTCATTGAGGAGTTTGGAAACATTCTTTTTGTGCAATCTGCAAAGGAATATTTCTGAGTGGTTTCAGGCCTGTGGTGAAAAAGAAATATCCTCACATAAAAACTAGACAGAAGCATTCTGAGAAACTTCTTTTTTATATGTGCATTCACCTCACAGAGTTGAACATTTTTTTTCATTAAGCAGTTTGGAAACAGTGTTTTTGTAGAATCTGCAAAGGGATATTTGTGATCCCTTTGAGGCTTATGGTGAAATAGGAAATATCTTCACAGAAATACTAGACAGAAGCTTTCTGAGAAACTACTTTGTGATATATGCTTTCATCCTACAGAGTTGAACCTTTCTTTTGATTGATCACTTTGGAAACAGTCTTTTTGAAGAATCTACAAAAGGATATTTGGAGAGCTTTGAGGCCTATGGTCAAAAAGGAAATATACTCACATAAAAACTAGACAAAAACATTTTGAGAAACTTCTTTGTGATGTGCACTTTCATTTCACAGTGTTGAACCTTTGCTTTGATTGAGCAGTTTGGAAACAGTCTTTTTGTACAATCTGCAAAGGGATATTTCTGGGCCATTTGAGGCCTATGGTGAAAATGAAACATCTGCACATAAAAACTAGACAGAAGCATTCATGAGAAACTTCTTTGTGATGTGTCCATTCATGTCACAGAGTTGAACATTTCTTTTGATTGAGCAGTTTGGAAACAGTCGTTTTGTAGAATCTGCAAAGGGATATTTGTGAGCCCTTTAGGGCCTGTGGTGAAATACAAAATATCTTCACATAAAAACTAGACAGAAGCATTCTGAGAAACTTCTTTGTGATGTGTGCTTTCATCTCACAGTGTTGAACGTTTCTTTTGATTAAGCAGTTTGGAAAATCTTTTTGTAGAATCTGCAAATGGATATTTGGAGCTATTTGAGGCCCATGGTGAAAAAGGAAGTACCTTCACATAAAAACTAGACAGAAAATTTCTGAGAAACTTCTTTGTGATGTGTGAATTCATGTCACAGAATTCAACCTTTCTTTCCATTGAGCAGTTTGGAAACAGTCTTTTGTAGAAGGTGCAAAGGGAAATTTCTTAGCTGTTTCAGGCCTATGGTGAAAAAGAAATATCTTCACATAAAAACTAGACAGAGGCATTCTGAGAAACTTCTTTTTATGTGTGCATTCACCTCCCAGAGTTGAACGTTTCTTTTCATTGAGAAGTTCAGAAACAGTCTTTTAGTAGAATCTGCCAAAGGATCTATGTGAGCCCCTTGAGGCCCATGGTGAAATAAGAAATATCTTCACAGAAAAACTAGACAGAAGCATTCTGAGAAACTTCTTTGTGATATTTGCATTCATCTCAGAGAGTTGGAACTTTGTTTTGATTGAGCAGTTTGGAAGCAGTCTTTTTGATATATCTGCAAATGGATATTTGGAGCGCTTTGTGACTTGTGGTGAAAAACTGAATATCTTCATATAAAACCTAGTTAGAAACCTTCTGAAGAACTTCTTTGTGATGTGTGCTTTTATCTCACAGAGTTGAACCTTTCTTTTCATTGAGCAGTTTGGAAGCAGTCTTTTTGAAGTATATGCAGAGGGATATTTGGGATTGGTTTAAGGCCCATGGTGAAAGAGTAAATATCTTCAGATAAAAACTAGACAGAAGCATTCTGAGAAAGTTCTTTGTGATGTGTACATTCATCACACAAAGCTGAAAATTTCTTTTTATTGAGCAGTTTTGAAACAGTCTTTTTGTCCAATCTGCAAAGGGATACTTCTTAGACGTTTGAGGCCTATGGTGAAAAAGAAATATCTTCACATAAAAACTAGACAGAAGCTTTCTGAGAAACTTCTGTGTGATGTGTTCATTCATCTCATACAGTTGAAATTTTCTTTTGATGGAGCAGCTTGGAAACAGTCTTTTTGTATATTCTGTAAAGGGATATTTGTGATCCCTTTATGGCTTAAGGTGAAATATGAAATATCTTCACATAAAAATTAGAAGCTTTCTGAGAAACTTATTTGTGATGTGTGCATTCACCTCACAGAGTTGAAATTTTCCTTTGTTAGAGCAGTTTGGAAAGAGGCCTTTTGTAGGATCTCCAAAGGGATATTTTTGAATCCACTGAGGCGTATAATGAAAAAGGAAATATCTTCACATTAAAACTACAAAGAAACCATCTGAGAAACTTCTTTGTGATGTGCACTTTCATTTCACATGTTGAACCTTTTCTTTGATTGAGCAGTTTGGAAAGAGTCTTTTTGGACAATCTGCAAAGGGATATTTCTGAGTCATTTGAGGCCTGTGGTGAAAAAGAAATGTATTCACATAAAAACTAGACAGAAGTATTCTGATAAACTACTTTGTGATGTGTGCATTCATCTCACAGGGCTGAATCTTTGTTTTGATTGAGTAGTTTGGAAAAAGTCCTTTTGTAGAATCTGCAAAGGGATATTTGGAGAGCTTTCAGGCCTATGTTGAAAAAGGAAATATATTCACATAAAAAGTAGACAGAAGCTTTCTGAGAAACTTATTTGTGATGTGTGCATTTGTCTCACATAGTTGAACATTTCTTTTGATTGAGCAGGTTGGAAACAGTCTTTTTGTAGTATCTGCAGAGGGATATTTGTGGGCAGTTTGACACCTATGGTGAAAAAGGAAATATCTTCACATAAAATCTAGACAGAAGCATTCTGAGAAATTTTGTGATGTGTGAATTCATATAACAGAGTTGAAAATTTCTTTGGAGTGAGCAGTTTGGAAAGAGTCCTTTTGTAGAAACTGCAAAGGGATATTTCTGAACCATTGAGGCCTACGGTGAAATATGAAATATCTTCACATAATAACTAGACAGAATCTTTCTAAGAAACTTCTTTGTGATGTGTGCTTTCATCTCAAAGAGTTGAAACTTTCTTTTGATTGAGCAGTTTGGAAGCATTCTTTTTCTGGAATCTGCAAATAGATATTTGTAGAGTTTTGAGGCCTATCGTGAAAAAGGAATTATATTCACATAAGAAGTAGACTGAAGCATTCTCTGAAACTTCTTTGTGACGTGTGCATTCATTTCACAGAGTTGAACATTTATTTTGATTGAGCAGTTTGGAAACAGTCTTTTTGTAGTATCTGCAGGGGGATATTTGTGAGCAGTTTGAGGTCTATGGTGAAAAAGAAATATCTTCACATGAAAACTAGACAGAAGCATTCTGAGAAACTTTTGTGATGTGTGCATTCATCTCACAGAGTTGAACCTTTCTTTAGTTTGAGCAGTTTGGAAACAGTCCTTTTGTAGAATCTGAAAAGGGATATTTCTGAGCCCATTGAGGCCAACGGTGAAATATGAAATATCTTCACATAATAACTAGACAGAAGCTTTCTAAGAAACTTCTTTGTGATGTGTGCTTTCATCTCACAAAGTTGAAAGTGTCTTTTATTTGAGCAGTTTAGAAAGACTCTTTTTGTAGAATCTGTAAATGGATATTTGGAGTGCTTTGAGGCCTATGGTGAAAAAAGAAATATCTTCACATAAAAACTAAACAGAAACTTTCCAAGAAACTTGTTTGTGATGTCTACATTCATCTGACAGAGTTGAATGTTTCTTTTGGTTGAACATTTTGGAAAGAGTATTATTGTACAATATGGAAAGGGATATTTCTGAGCCGTTAGAGTCCTATGGTGAAAGAGAAATACCTTCACATAAAAAGTAGACAGTAGCATTATGAGAAACTGTTTTGAGATGTCACAGAGTTGAACCTTTCTTTTGATTCAACAATTTGGAAAAAGTCTTTTTATAGAATCTGCAAAGTGATATTTGTGAGTCCTTTGTGGCCTCAGGTGAAATAGGAAATATCTTCACATAAAAACTAGACAGAAGCTGTCTGAGTAACTTCTTTGTGATGTGTGCTTTCATCTCACAGAGTTAAAAATTTCTTTTTATTGAGCAGTTTGGAAACAGTCTTTTGTAGAATCTGCAAATCAATGTTTGGATCACTTTGAGGCCTATCGTTAGAAGGGAAGTATCTTCACATAAAAACTAGACAGAAGCTTTCTGAGAAACTTCTTTGTGTTGTGTGCTTTCATCTCACAGAGTTGAACCATCCTTTTGATTGAGCAGTTAGGAAACAGTCTTTTTCTACAATCTGCAAAGGGATATTTCTGAGGGGTTTGAGGCCTACGGTGAAAAAGAAATATCTTCATATGAAAACTAGACAGAAGCATCCTGAGAAACTTCTTTGTGATGTGTGCATTCATCTCATAGGGTTGAACCTTTCTTTTAATTGAGCAGTTTGGAAACAGTCTTTTTGTACAATCTACAAAGGGATATTTCTGAACGGTTTGATGCCTATGTTGAAAAAGAAATATCTACATATAAATACTAGACAGAAGCATTCTGAGAAACTGCTTTTTTATGTGTGCATTCTCTCACAGAGTTGAAACTTTCTTTGCATGGAGCAGTTCAAAAACTGTCTTTTTGTAGAGTCTGCAAAGGGATATTTGTGAGCTCTTTGAGGCCTATGGTGAAATATGAAATATCTTCACATAAAAACTAGACAGAAGCATTATGAGAAACTTCTTTATGATGTGTGCTTTCATCTCACAGAGTTGAACATTATTTTTGATTGAGCAGTTTGGAAACACTCTTTTTGTAGAATCTGCAAATGGATGTGTGGAGTGCTTTGAAGCCTATGTTGAAAAAGGAAATATCTTCACATAAAACTTTCTGAAAAACTTCTTTGTGATGTGTGCATTCATCTCACAGAGTTGAGCCTTTCTTTTGATTGAGCGGTTTGGAAACAGTCTTTTTGTAGAATCTGCAAATGGATATTTGGAGCGCTTTGAGCCTATTGTGAAGAAGGAACTATCTTCACATAAAAACTAGATAGAAATTTTCTGAGAAACTTCTTTGTGATGTTTGCATTCATCTCACAGAGTTGAACCTTTCTTTTCATTTGACAGTTTGGAAACAGTCTTTTTGTACAATCTGTAAAGGGATATTTCTTAGCCATTTGAGGCTTATGGTGAAAAAGACATATCTTCCCATAAAAACTAGACAGAAGCTTTCTGAGAAACTACTTTGTGATGTGTCCATTCATCTCACACAGTTGAACCTTTGTTTTGATTGAGCTGTTTGGAAACAGTCTTTTTGTAGATTCTGCAAAGGGATATTTGTGATACCTTTATGGCCTATGGTGAAATAGGAAATATCTTCACTTAACAACTAGACGAACATTCTGAGAAACTTATTTGTGATGTGTGCTTTCATCTCACAGAGTTGAAACTTTCTTTTGATTGAGCAGTTTGGAAAGAGGCCGTTTGTAGTATCTGAAAAGGGATATTTTTGAGCCCTTTGAGGCCTATGATGAAAGAGGAAATATCTTCACATATAAACTAGATAGAAACTTTCTGAGAAAATTCTTTTTAATGTGTGCTTTCATCTTACAGTGTATAATCTCTTTTCATTGAACAGTTTGGAAACAGTCTTTTTGTAAAATCTGCATAGGGATATTTCTGAGTGGTTTGAGGCCTATGATGAAAAAGAAATATCTTCACATAAAAACTAGACAGAAGCATGCTGAGAAACTTCTTTTTTAGGTGTGCATTCATCTCACAGAGTTGAAACTTAGTTTTCATTGAGCAGTTCTGTAACAGTCCTTTTGTAGAATCTGCAAAGGGATACTTGTGAGCCCTTTGAGGCCCATGGTGTAATAGGAAATACCTCCACAAAAAAACTAGAAAGAAGCATTCTGAGTAACTTCTTTGTGATTTGTGCTTTCATCTCACAGAGTCGAACCTTTCTTTAGATTGAGCAGTTTGGAAACAGTCTTTTTGTAGTATCTGCAGAGGCATATTTGTGAGCAGTTTAAGGCCTATGGTGAAAAAGGAAATATCTTCACGTAAAAACTAGACAGAAGCATTCTGAGAAACTACTTTATGATGTTTGCATTCATCTCACAGAGTTGAATCTTTCTTTTGATTGAGCAGTTTAGAAACACTCCTTTTGTAGAGTCTGCAAATGGATATTTGGAGTGCTTTGAGGCCTATGGTGAAAAAGGAAATATCTTCACATAAAAACTAAACAGAAGCGTTCTGAGAAACGTCTTTGTGATGAGTGTATTCATCTCACAGTGTCGAACCTTTGTTTTGATTGAGCAGTTTGGAAACAGTCTTTTTGTACAATCTGCAACGGGATATTTCTGAACTGTTTGACGCCTATGGTGAAAAACAAATGTCTTCACATAATAACTAGACAGATGCACTCTGAGAAACTTCTTTGTGTGATGTCCATTCCTTGATCAGAGTTGAACCTTTCTTTTCGTTGATCAGTTTGGAAAAAAGTCTTATTGTAGAATCTGCAAAGGGATATTTGTCAGCCTTTTGAGGACTAAGGTGAGATAGGAAATGTCTTCACATAAAAACTAGACGGAACATTCTGAGAAACTTCTTTCTGACATGTGTATTACTCTCACAGTGTAGAACCTTTCTTATGAATGCACAATTAAGAAACAGTCTTTTTGTACTATCTGCATAGGAATATTTGTGAGGGGTTTGTGGCCTATGGTGAAAAAGGAAATATCTTCACAGAAAACTATACAGAAGCATTCTGGGAAACTTCCTTATGATGTGTTCTTTCATCTCACAGAGTAGAACTTTTCTTTTGATTTAGCAGATTGGAAACAGTCTTTTTGTAGTATCTGCAGTGGTATATATCTGAGCATTTTGAGGCCTATGGAGTTAAAGAAATATCATCACATAAAAACTAGACAGAAGCATTCTGAAAATTTCGTAATGTGTGCGTTCATTACACGGATTTGAACCTTTCTTTTCATTGAGCTGTTTGGAAACAATCCTTTTGTAGAACCTGCAAAAGGATATTTCTGAACCCAATGATGCCTCTGTTGAAATAGGAAATATCTTCACATAAAAACTAGACAGAAGCCTTCTGAGAAACTTCTGTATTGTGTGTGCATTCATCTCACAGAGTTGAACCTTTATTTTGATTGAGCAGTTTGGAAACAGTCTGTTTTGAGTATCTGCAGAGGGATATTTGTAAGCAGTTTAAGGCCTATGTTGAAAAAGGAAATATGTTCACATAAAAACTAGACAGAAGCATTCTGAGAAACTTCTTTGTGATGTGTGCATTCATCTCACAGAGTTGAACCTTTCTTTTGATTGAGCAGTTTGGAAACAGTCTTTTTTGTAGAAAATGCAAATGGAGATTTGGAGCAATTTGATCCTAGGGTGCAATAGGAAGTGTCTTCGAATAAAAACTAGACAGAAGCTTCCTGACAAACTTCTTTCTGATGTGTGCATTCATCTCACAGAGTTGAAAGTTTCTTTAGATTGAGCAGTATGGAAACACTTTTTTTGTAGGATCTACAGAGGGATATTTTTGAGCAGTTTGAGGCCTATGGTGAAAAAGGAACTATCTTCACATAAAGACTAGACAGAAGCATTCTGAGAAAGTTCTTTGTGACGTGTGCATTCATCTCACAGAGACTAACTTTTGTTTTCATTAAGCAGTTTGCAAACAGTGTTTTTGCAGAAGCTGAAATGGGATATTTTTGAGCCCTTTGAGGCCTATGGTGAAATAGGAAATATCTTCACATAAAAACTTGTCAGAAACTTTCTGAGTAACTTCTTTGTGATATGTGTGTTCATCTTACAGAGTTGAAACTTTCTTTTGATTGAGCAGTTTGGAAACAATCTTTTTGTAGAATCTGCAAAAGGATATTTGGTGGGCTTTGAGGTCTATGGTGAAAAAGGAAGTATCTTCACATAAAAACTAGACAGAAGCTTTCTGAGAAACTTCTTTGTGATTTGTGCATTCATCTCACAGAGTTGAAACTTTCTTTTGATTGAGCAGTTTGGAAACAGTCTTTTTGTAGAATATGCAGAGGGATATTTGTGAGCAGTTTGTGGAGAAAAGTTAAAAAGGAAATATCTTCACATAAAAACTAGACAGAAGCATTCTGAGAAATTTATTTTTGATGTGTGCATTCTTCTCACAGAGTTGAACCTTTTTTAGATAGAGCAGGTTGGAAAATGTTTTTTGTAGAATCTTCAAAGTGATAATTTGAATGCGTTGAGACTTACGGTGAAAAAGGAAATATCTTCACATAAAAACTGGACAGAAGCTTTCTGAGAAACTTCTTTGTGAAGTGTGCAACAGTCTTTTTGTAAAATCCGTAAAGGGACATTTGTGAGCACTTTGAGGCCTATATTGAAAAAGGAAACATCTTCAAATAAAAGCTAGATAGAAGCTTTCTGAGAAACTTTTTTTGTGATGTGTGCATTCACCTCACAGATTTGAACCTTTCTTTTCATTCAGTAGTTTGGAAACAGTCTTTTTGTAGAATATGCAAAGGGTTATTTATGAGTAGTTTGAGGCCTATGGTGAAAAAGGGAGTATCAACAAATAAAAACTAGACAGAAACTTTCTGAGAAACTTCTCTGTGATGTGTGCATTCATCTTGCAGAGTGGAAGATTTCTTTGAGCCTTTTGGAAACAGTCTTTTTGTAGAATCTGCAAAGGGATATATGTAGGTGGTTTGAGGTCTATGTTGAAAATGGAAATATCTTCACATAAAAACTAACTGCTCAATGGGAAGAAACTTTTACTTCTGTGTGATGAATGCACATGTCACAAAGGAACTACTCAGAAAATTTCTTTCTACTTTTATGTGAAGATATTTCCTTTTTCACCATATGCCTCAATGTGCTCCCAGATATCCCTTTGCAGATTCTATGAAAAGACTGTTTCCAAACTGCTCAATAAACAGAATAGTTCAACCCTGTGAGACGAATGTGCACATCACAAAGAAGTTTCTCAGAAAACTTCCTTCTCGCTTTTTTGTGAAGATATTTCCTTTTTGAACATAGGCATCAACTCACTCCCAAATATACCTTTGCAGAAACTACAAAAAGACTATTTCCAAACTGCTCAATCAAAAGAAAGTTTCAACTCTGTTAGATGAATGCACACATCAGAAAGTAGTTTCTCAGAAAGCCTCTCACTAGTTTTTATGTGAAGATAGTTCCTTTTTCATCGTGGGTCTCAAAGCACTCAAAAATTTCCCTTTGCAGATTCTAGAATAACAGCGTTTACAAACTGCTCAATGAAAAGTAACATTTACCTTTGCGAGATGAATACACATATCTTAAAGCAGCTTCTCAGAATGCTTCTTTCTAGTTTTTATGTGAAGATATTTCCTTTTTCACCATAGGCCTCAATGCGCTCCTAAATATCCCTTTGCAGATTGTACAAAAAGACGTTTCCAAACTGCTTGATCCAAAGAATGTTTCCACTCTGTGAGATGAATGCACACATCCAAAGAAGTTTCTCAGAAACTTTCTTTATAGTTTTTCTTTGAAGATATTTCCTTTTTCACCATAGGCCTCAAAGCTCTCACAAATATCCCTTTGCAGATTCTACAAAAAGACTGTTTCCAAACTGCTCAATAAAAAGAATTTTTGAACACTGTGAGATGAATGCACACATCTCAAAGAAGTTTCTCAGAAACGTTCAGTCTAGTTTTTATGTGAATATATTTCCTTTTTCACCATAGGCCTCAAAGCACTCAAAATATCCATTTGCAGATTCTACAAAAAGACTGTTTCCAAACTGCTCAATCAAAACAAAGGTTCAACTCTGTGTGATGAATGCACACATCACAAAGAAGTTTCTCAGAATGCTTCTGTCTAGATTTTATGTGAAGACACTTGCTTTTTCACCATAGGCCTCAAAGTGCTCACAAATATCCCTTTACAGATTCTACAAAAATACTTTTTCTAAATTGCTCAATCAAAAGAAAGGTTCAACTCTGTGAGATGCATGCACACCACAAAGAGATTTCTCAGAAAGCTTCTCTCTATGTTTTATGTGAAGATATTTCCTTTTTCACCATAGGCCTCAAAGCATTCACAAATATCCCTTTGCAGATTCCACAAAAAGACTTGTTACACACTGCTCAATCAAAAGAATGTTTCAACTCTGTGAGATGAATGCTCACATTGCCACAATGTTTCTCAGAAACTTCTGTGTAGTTTTTATGTAAAGATATTTCCTTTTTCACCATATGCCTTAAAGGGCTCACAAATATCCCTTTGCAGATTTTACCAGAAAAGAGTTTCCAATCTTCTCAATGAAAAGAAACAGACACATCTGGGAGATGAATGCACATATCACAAAGCAGTTTCTCAGAAACATTCTGTCTAGTTTTTATGTGAAGGTATTTCCTTTTTCAACACTGGATGCAAAGCGCTCAAAATTGTCCCTTTGCAGATTCTACCAAAATACTGTTTACAAACTGCCCAATCAAGAGAATGTTTCAACTCTGTGAGATGAATTCTCACATCTCCAAGATGTTTCACAGAAAGCTTCTGTCTAGTTTTTACATGAAGATAATTCCTTTTTCACCATAGGCCTCAAAGTGCTGATAAATATCTCTTTGCAAATTTTACAGGAACAGAATTTCCAATCTGTTCAATGAAAAGAAATGGTTACCTCTGTGAGATGAAAGCACACATCACAAAGCAGTTTCTCAGAAATATTCTCTCTAGTTTTTATGTAAAGATAATTCCTTTTCCAACATAGGACACAAAGCGTGAACTAATAACCATTTGGAAATTCTACAAAATACTGTTTCCAAAATGCTCATCAAAAGAAAGTTTCACCTCTGTGGGATGAACGCACATATCAAAAAGATGATTCTTAGAAAGCTTCTATCTTGTTTTTATGTGTAAGTGTTTCCTTTTTCACCATGGGCCTCAAAGTGCTCAAAAATATCCCTTTGCAGATCCTAAAAAAAGACTGTTTCCAAACTGCTGAGTCAAAGGAATGGTTCAACTCTGTGAGATGAATGCACACATCACAAAGAAGTTTCTCACAAACCTTCTTTATAGTTTTTATGTGAAGATATTTCCTTTTAACCATAGACCTCAAAGCACTCACAAAACCCTTTGCAGATTCTACAAAAAGATGGTTTCCCAACTGCTCAATCCAAAGAATTGGTGCACTCTGTGAGATGAATGCATACATCACAAAGCAGTTTCTCAGAAATATTTAGTCTAGTTTTTATGTGAAGATAATTTCTCTTTCACCATAGGCCTCAAAGTGCTCAGAAATATCCCTTTACAGATTCCACAAAAAGACGTTTCCAAACTGATCAATCAAAAGAAAGTTTCAGTTCTGTGAGATCAATGCACACATCACCAAGGAGTTTCTCAGTAGGCTTCTGTCTGGTTTTTATGTGAAGACAATATCTTTTTTACCATAGGGCTCTAGGCACTCACAAATGTCCCTTAGCAGATTCTACAAGAACAGAGTTTCCCAACTGATCAAAGAAAAGAATCTTTTACCTCTGTGAGATGAAGACACACATCACAAAACAGTTTCTCAGAAACCTTTTTTACAGTTTTCTGTGAAGATACTTATTTTCCTGCATAGGCCTCAAAGTGCTCACAAATATCCATTTGCAGATTCTTCAAAAAGACTGTGTCCAAATGGCTGAATTAAAAGAGAGGTTCAAATCTGTGAGATGAATGCACGTATCACAAAGAAGTATCTCAGAAACTTTCTTTATACTTTGAATGTGAAGATATTTCATTTGTCACAATAGGCCTCAAAGTGCTCAAAAATACCCCTTTTGAGATTGTACAAGAACAGAGTTTCCAGACTGATCAGAGAAAAATCATTTACCTCTGTGAGATGAATGCACACATCACAAGGTTGTTTTTAGAGAACCTGCTTTATAGTTCTTATGTGAAGATATGTCCTTTTCCACCATAGGCCTCACAGCACTCCAAATATCCAATGGCAGATTCTACCAAAAGAGTGTTTCAAAACTGCTCAACAAAAAGAAAGTTCAACTCTGTGAGATGAATGCATACATCACAAAGAAGTTTCTCAGAATGCTTCAGTCTAGTTTTTATGTGAAGATATTTCCTTTTCCACTAAAAGAGTGTTTCAAAACTGCTTAATCAAAGGAAAGGTTCAACTCTGTGCGATGAAGGCACACATCACAAGGAAATTTCTCAGAATGCTTCTGTCTAGTTTATGTGAAGATATTTCCTTTTCCAACAGAGGCCACAAAGTGCTTGAAATATCCACTTGCAAATTCTAAAAAAAGAGTGTTTCAAAACTGCTCAATCAGAAGAAAGGTTCAACTCTGTGAGTTGAACAGACACAGCACTAAGAATTTTGTCAGAATGCTTCTCTGTAGTTTTTATGTGAAGATATTTCCTTTTCCACCATAAGCCTCAAAACGCTCCAAATATCCACTTGCAGATCCTAAAAAAAGTGTGTTTCAAAACTGCTCAATCAAAAGAAAGGTTCAACTCTATTTGTTGAATACACACATCAAAAACAAATTTGTGAGAATGCTTCTGTGTATTTTTTATGTGAAGATATTTCCTTTTCCACCATAGGCATCAAAGTGCTCCAAATATCCAATTGGAGATTCTACAAAAAGAGTGTTTCAAAGCTGCTTAATTGAAAGAAAGCTTCAACTCTGTGAGATGAATGCACACATCACAAAGAAGTTTCTCAGAATTCTATTGTCTAGTTTTTATGTGAAGATATTGCCTTTTCCACTTAAGACCACAAAGCACTCCAAATATCCACTTGCAGATTCTACAAAAGGAGTGTTTCAAAACTGCTCAATCAAAAGAAGGGTTCCACTCTGTGAGTTGAATACACACATCACAAATAAGTTTCTCAGAATGTTTCTGTCTACTATTTATGTGAAGATATTTCCTTTTCCACCATAAGCCTCAAAGCGCTCCAAAGAACCACTGATAGATTTTACAAAAAGAGGGTTTCAAAACTGCTGAATCAAAAGAAAGGTTCAACTCTGTGAGTTGAATGCACACATCACAAAGAAGTTTCTCAGAATGCTTCTGTCTAATTTTTATGTGAAAATATTTTGTTTTCCACCATAGGCCTCGATGTGCTCCAAATATCCACTTGCAGATTCTACAAAAAGAGTGTTTCCAAACTGCTCAACAAAAAAAATGGTTGAACTCTGTGAGATGAAACCACATATCACAAAGAAGTTTCTCAGAAATCCTCTGTCTAGTTTTTATGTGAGAATATTTCCTATTTCATCTGTAGGCATCAATGGGCTGAGAAATATCCCTTCACAGATTCTACAAAGGACTGTTTCCAAACTGCTCAATCCAAAGAAACGTTCTACTCTTTGTGGTGAATGCACACATCACAAAGAAGTTTCTCAGAATGCTTCTGTCTAGTTTTTATGTGAAGATATTTCTTTTTCCACTATAGTCCTCAAAGCGCTCCAAATATCCACTTGCAGATTCTACAAAAAGAGTGTTTCCAAACTACTCAATCAAAAGAAATGTTCAACTCTTTGAGTTGAATGCACACATCACAAAGAAGTTTCTCAGAATGCTTGTGTCTAGTTTTATATGAAGATATTTCCTTTTGCACCATAGGTCTCAAAGCTCTCCAGATATCCATTTGCAGATCCTCTGAAAAGACTGTTTCCAATCTGCTCAATCTAAAGAAACGTTCAACTCTGTGAGATGAAAGCACATAACACATCAAAGTTTCTCAGAATACTTCTGTCTAGTTTTTATGTGAAGATTTTTCCTATTTCCTCTTTAGGCCTCAAAGGGGTCAGAAATGTCCCTCTGCAGATTCTACAAAAACACTGTTCCTGAAATGCTCAATGAAAAGAAAGGTTCCCATCTGTGAGAAGAATGCACACATAAAAAGAAGTTTCTCAGAATGCTTCTGTCTAGCTTTTATGTGAAAATATTTCTTTTTCACTGTAAGCCTAAAACCTATCAGAAATATCCCTTTGCAGATTCTACAAAAAGACGGTCTCCAAACTGCTCAATTAAAAGAAAATTTCAAATCTGTGATATGAATGCAAACAACATAAAGTGTTTACTCAAAAATATTCCTTCTAGTTTTCATGTGAAGATATTTCATTTTCACCAAAGGCCTGAAGTTTTCTTAATATCCATTTGCAGATTCTACAAAAAGACTGTTTCCAAACTGCTTCATCATAAAAAAGTTCAACTCTGTGAGATGAATGCACACATATAAAAGAAGTTTCTAAGAAAGCTTCTGTCTAGTTTTTATGTGAAGATATTTCCTACTTCATCATAGACCACAAAGGGCTCACAAATATCCCATTGCAGATTTTAAAAATACTGTTTCTGAATCGCTCAATCAAAAGAAAGGTTCATCCCTGTGAGACGAATGGACACATAACAAGGAAATTTCTCAGAATGCTTCTGTCTAGCTTTCATGTGAAGATATTTCCTTTTCCACCTTAGGCCTCAAATCGCTGACAAATATCCCTCTGCAGATAATTGAAAAAGACTGTTTCCAAACTGCTCAATCAACAGAATGGTTCAACTCTCTCAGAGGAAAGCACACGTCACAAAGAAGTTTCTCAGAATGCTTCTGTCTAGTTTTTATGTGACGATATTTCCTTTTTTACCATAGGCATTAAACCATTCACACATATACCTCCTCAGATACTGCAAACAGACTGTTTCCAATCTGCTCCTTCAAAAGAAAGGTTCAGCTCTGTGAGGTGAATGCACACAGGACAAATAAGTTTCTCAGAATGCTTCTGTCTAGTTTTTATGTGAAGATATTTCCTTTTTCACCATAGGCCTCAAAGCACTCCAAATATCCATTTGCAGATTCTACAAAAAGAGTGTTTCCAAACTGCTCAATCAAAGGAAAGTTACAACTCTGTGAGGTGAAAGAACACATCATAAAGAAGTTTCTCAGAAAGCTTCTGTCTAATTTTTATGTGAAGGTATTTTCTGTTTCACCATAGTCCAGAAAGGGCTCACAAATAGCCTTTTGAAGATTCTACATAAAGACTGTTTCCAAACTGCTGAACTAAAAGAAAGGTTCAACTCTGTGAGATGAAAGCACATATCTCAAAGAAGTTTCTCAGAAAGCTTCTGTCTGGTTTTTATGGGAAGATATTTCCTATTTCACCATAGGCCTCAATGGGCTGAGAAATATCCCTTTGCAGATTCTACAAAAGGACTGTTTCCAAACTGCTCAATCCAAAGAAAGTTTCACCTCTTTGAGATGAATGCATACATCACAAAGAAGTTTCTCAGAATGCTTCTGCCTAGGTTTTTGTGAAGATATTTCCTTTTTCACCGTAGGCCTTAAACTGCTCTCAGATATCTCTCTGCAGATACTACAAAAAGACTGTCTCCAAACTGCTCCATCAAAAGTAAGGTTCAACTCTGTGAAATGAAAGGATACATCTCAAAGAAGTTTCTCAGAATACTTCTGTCTAGTTTTTATGTGAAGATATTTCTTTTTCGACATAGGCCTCCAACTTCGCAGAAATATCCCTTTCCAGATTGTACAAAAAGACTGTTTCCAAACTGCTCAATGAAATGAAACTTTCAACACTGTGAGATGT
Organism: Homo sapiens; assembly: GCF_000001405.40. Classification (NCBI taxonomy): domain Eukaryota; kingdom Metazoa; phylum Chordata; class Mammalia; order Primates; family Hominidae; genus Homo; species Homo sapiens. The sequence continues at coordinate 11,221,743 of NC_000022.11, read as the reverse complement.
ATGCACACATCAAAAAGAAGTTTCTCAGAAAGCTTCTGTTTAGATTTCGTGTGAAGATATGTCATTTTTCACCATAGGCTCCAAAGTGCTCAAAATATCCTTTGCAGATTGTACAAAAAGACTGTTTCCAAACTTCTCAATCAAAAGAAAGGTTCAAATCTGTGAGATGAAAGCTCACATCACTAAGAAGTTTATCAGAAATCTTCTGTCTAGCTTTTATGTGAAGATATGTCCTTTTTCACCATAGACATCAATGGGAACAGAAATATCCCTTTGCAGATCCTACAAAAAGACTGTTTCCAAACTGCTCAACCAAAAGAATGGTTCAACTCTGTGAGATGAAAGCACATATCACAAAGAAGTTTCTCAGAAATCCTCTGTCTAGTTTTTATGTGAAGATATTTCCTATTTCATCCATAGGCCTCAATGGGCTCAGAAATATCCCTTTGCAGATTCTACAAAAGGACTGTTTCCAAACTGCTCAATCTAAAGAAAGGTTCAACTCTTTGAGATGAATGCATACAACACAAAGAAGTTTCTCAGAATGCTTCTAGCTGGTTTTTATGTGAAGATATTTCCTTTTTCACCATAGGCCTTAAACCACTCTCACATATCTCTCTGTAGATACTACAAAAGGATTGTTTCCAGACTGCTCCATCAAAAGAAAAGTTCAACTCTGTGAGATGACTGGATAAATCACAAAAAAGTTTCTCAGAATACTTCTGTCTACATTTTATCTGAAGATATTTCTTTTTCACCATAGGCCTCCAACTTCACAGAAATATCCCTTTGCAGATTTCATAAAAAGACTGTTTCCAAATTGCTCAATGAAAAGAAAGTTTCATCTCTGTGAGATGTATGCACTCATCAAAAAGAAGTTTCTCAGAAAGCTTCTGTTTAGATTTCATGTGAAGTTATGTCCTTTTTCACCATAGGCCTCAAAGCGCTCAAAATATCCTTTGCAGATTCTACAAAAAGACTGTTTCCAAACTGCTCAATCAAAAGAAAGGCTCAAATCTGTGAGACGAAAGCACACATCACTAAGAAGCTTCTCAGAAGGCTTCTGTCTAGTTTTTAAGTGAAGATATTTCTTCTTTCACCATAGGTCTCAATGGGCTCAGAAATATCCCTTTGCAGATCCTACAAAAAGACTGTTTCCAAACTACTCAATCAAAACAAAGTTTGAACTCTGTCAGATGAATGCACACATCAGAAACAAGTTTCTCAGAATGCTTCTGACTAGGTTTTATGTGAAGATATTTCCTTTCTCACCAAAGTCCTCAAAATGCTCACAAATATCTCTCTGCAGATACTATAAAAGACTGTTTCCAAACTGCTCAATCAAAAGAAAGGTTCAACTCTGCGAGATGAATGCTCACATCACAAAGATGTTTCCAGAATGCTTCTGTCTAGTTTTTATGTGAAGATATTTCCTTTTTCACCACAGGCCTCAAAGTGCTCCAAATATCCATTTGCAGATCCTACAAAAAGAGAGTTTCCAAATTGCTCAATCAAAAGAAAGTTTCATTTCTGTGAGATGAAAACACACATTACAAAGAAGTTTCTCAGAAAGCTTCTGTCTAGTTTTTATGTGAAGATATTTCCTAATTCACCATAGGCCTAAATCTGCTAAGAAGTATCCCTTTGCAGATTGTATAAAAATACTGTTTCCAAACTGCTGAATCAAAAGAAAAGTTAAACTGTGTGAGATGAATGCACACATCATGAAGAAGTTTCTGAGAAAGCTTCTGTTTAGTTTTTATGTGAATACATCTCCTTTTTCATCATAGGTGTCAAAGTGAGCAAAATACCCATTTGCAGGTTCTACAAAAAGAGTGTTTCAAAACTGCTCAATCAAGAGAAAGGTCCAACTCTGTGAGATGACTGCACACATCACAAAGACGTTTTGCATAAAGCTTCTGTGTAGTTTTTATGTGAGGATATTTCCTTTTTCACCATAGGCCTTAAACCACTCAAAAATATCACTCCACATATACTACCAAAAAAAACTGTTTCCAAACTGCTCAATCAAAAGAAACGTTCAACTCTGTGAGATGAATACTCAAATCACAAAAAGTTTGTCAGAATGTTTCTGTCTTGTTTTTATCTGAAGATATTTCTTTTTCACCATACATCTCAAACCACTGAGAAATGTCTCTTTGGAGATTGTACAGAAAGACTGTTTCTGAACTGCTCAATGAAAAGAAATGTTCACATCTGTGAAATGAATGCTCTCATAAAAAGAAGTTTTTCAGAATACTTCTGTCTAGCTTTTATGTGAAGATATTTCTTTTTCACCATAGGCCTCAAAACGATCAGAAATGTCCCTTTGCAGATTATACAAAAAGATGGGTTCCAAACTGCTCAATCAACAGAAATGTTCAACTATGTGAGATGAATGCAAACATCACAAAAATTTTCTCAAAAACTTATGTCTTGTTTTTATGTGAAGATATTTCCTTTTTCACCATAGTCCTCAAAGCGTTCCTAATATCTATTTGCAGATTCTACAAAAACACTGGTTCCAAACTGCTCAATCAAAAGAAAAGTTCAACTCTGTGAGATGAAAGCACACATAAAAAGAAGTTAATAAGAAAGCTTTTATCTAGTTTTTATGTGAAGATATTTCCTATTTCATCATAGGCCATAAAGGACTCACAAATATCCCATTGCAGATTCTACAAAAAGACTGTTTCCAAACTGCTCAATCAGAAGAAAGGTTCAACCCAGTGAGATGAATGGACATATCACAAGAAGTTTCTCCAAAAGCTTCTGTCTAGTTTTCATGTGCAGATATGTCGTTTTTCACCATAGGCATCAAAGGGAACAGAAATATCCCTGTGCAGATCGTACAAAAAGAGTTTCTAAACTGCTCAACCAAAAGACCGGTTCAACTCTGTGAGATGAAAGCACATATCCAAAGAAGTTTTTCAGAAATCCTCAGTCTCGTTTTTATGTGAAGATATTTCCAATTTCACCACAGGCCTCAATGGGCTCAGAAATATCCCTTTGCAGATTCTACAAAAGGACTGTTTCCAAACTGCTCAATTCAAAGAAAGGTTCAACATAGTGATATGAATGCACACGTAACAAAGAAGTTTCTCAGAATGCTTCTGCCTAGTTTTTATGTGAAGATATTTCCTTTTTCACCATAGGCCTCAAACTGCTCTCACATATCCTTCTGCAGATACTACAAAAAGACTGTTTCCAAACTGCTCCATCAGAGGAAAGGTTCAACTCTGTGAGATGAATGGATACATCACAAAGAAGTTTCTCAGAATACTTCTGTCTGGTTTTATCTGAAGATATTTCTTTTTCACTACAGTCCTCAAACTTTGCAGAAATATCCCTTTGCAGATTGTACAAAAAGACTCTTTCTAAATTGCACAATCAAAAGAAAGGTTCAACTCTATGAGATTTATGCACTCATCAAAAAGAGGTTTCTCAGAAAGCTTCTGTTTAGTTTTAATGTGAAGATATTTCCTTTTTCACCATAGGCCTCAAAACACTCCAAGTATCTGTTTGCATATTCTACAAAAAGACTGTCTCCAAACTGCTCAATCAAAAGAAAGTTTCAAATCTGTGAGATGAAAGCACACATCACTAAGAAGTTTCTCAGAAAGCTTCTGTCTAGTTTTTATGTGAAGATATTTCCTTTTTCAACTTAGGCCTCAATGGGCTCAGAAATATCCCTTTGCAGATCCTACAAAAGGACTGTTTCCAAACTGCTCTATCAAAACAAAGTTTCAACTCTGTCAGATGAATGCACACATCACAAAGAAGTTTTTCAGAATGCTTCTGACTAGGTTTTATGTGAAGATATTTCCTTCCTCACCACAGTCCCCAAAATGCTCACAAATATCTCTCTGCAGATACTATAAAAGACTGTTTCCAAACTACTCAATCAAAAGAAAGGTTCAACTTTTTGGGGTGAATGCACACATCACAAAGACTTTTCTCAGAAAGCTTCTGTCTAGTTTTTATGTGAGGATGTTTTCTTTTTCACCATAGGCCTTAAAACACTCACAAATATCACTCCACATATACTACAAAAAGACTCTTTCCAAACTGCTCAATCAAAAGAAAAGTTCAGCTCTGTGAGGTGAAAGCACACATAAAAAAGAAGTTCCTAAGAAAGCTTCTGTCTAGTTTTTATGTGAAGATATTACTTCTTAAGCAGAGGCCTCAAACGGCTAAGAAATATCCCTTTGCAGATTGTAGAAAAAGACTGTTTCCAAACTGCTCAATCAAAAGAAAGGTTGAACTCTGTGAGATGAGTGCATACATCACAAAGAAGTTTCATAGAAAGCTTCTGTTTAATTTTTATGTGAAGATATTTCCATTTTCACCATACATCTCAAAATGTTCAAATAACCATTTGCAGATTCTACAAAAACAGTGTTTCAATACTTCTCAATCAAAAGAAACGTTCAACTCTGTGAGATGAAAGCACATATTGCAAAGAATTTTCTCAGAAAGTTTCTCTTTAGTTTTTATGTGAAGACATTTCCTATTTCCCCAGAGACCTCAAAGGGCTCACAAATATCCCTTTGTAGATTTTACAAAATGACTGTTTCCAAACTGCTTAATCAAAAGAAACGTTCAACCCTGTGAGGTCAATGCACATATCAGGTAGAAGTTTCTCAGAATGCTTCTGTCTAGTTTTTGTGTGAAGATATTTCGTTTTCCACTATAGGAATCAAAGTGCTCCAAATATCCACTTGCAGATTCTAAAAAAAGGCTGTTTCAAAACTGCTCAATCAAAAGAAAGGTTGAAGCCTGTGAGATGAATGCACACATTACAAAGAAGTTTCCCAGAATGCTTCTGTCTGATTTTTATGTGAAGATATTTCCTTTTTCACCAAAGGCCTCAATACGCTATAAATATCCATTTGCTGATACTGCAAATGAGTGTTTACAAACTACCCAATCAAAAGAAAGTTCACCTCTGTGTGACGCATGCACATATCACAAGAAAGTTTCTCAGAAAGTTTTGGTCTAGTTTCTATGTGAAGATATTACCTATTTCCCCAGAGGCCTCAAAGGGCTCACAAATATTACATTTCAGATTCGACAAAATGACTGTATCAAAGCTGCTCAATTAAAAGAAAGGTTTAACAGTGTGAGATGAAAGCACACATCACCAGGAAGTTTCTCAGAATTCTTCTTTCTAGATTTTCTGTGAAGATATTTCCTTTTCCACTATAGGACTCAAAGCACTCCAAATATCCATTTGCAGATAGTATAAAGAGAGTGTTTCAAAACTGCTCAATCAAAAGAAACGTTCAACTCTGTGAGATGAATGCACACATCACAAATAAGTTTCTCAGAAAGCTTCGGTCTAGTTTTAACGTGAAGATATTTCTTTTTCCAACATAGGCCTCAAAGCGCTCAAATTACCATTTGCAGATACTACAAAAAGACTGTTTCCAAACTACTCCATAAAAAGAAAGGTTTAACTCTGTGAGATAAATGCACACATCACAAAGAGGATTCTCAAAATGCTTCTGACTAGTTTTTATGGGAAGATATTTCCTTTTTCACCATATGTCTCAAAGGGCTGCTAATATCCATTTGCAGATACCACAAAAAGACTGTTGCCAAACTGCTCAATCAAAAGAAAGGTTCAACTCTGTGAGATGAAAGCACACATCACAAAGAAATTTCTCAGAAAGTGTCTGTCTAGTTTTTATATGCAGATACTTCCTTTTCCACTGTAGGCCTCAAAGCGCTCCAAGTATCCCCTTGCAGATTCTGCAAAAAGTGTGTTTCAAAACTGTTCAATCAAAAGAAAAGTACAACACCATGAGATTAATGCACACATAACAAAGTAGTTTCTAGGAATGCTTCTGTCTGGTTTTTATGTGAAGATACTTCCTTTTCCACCATAGACCTCAAAGTGCTCCAAGTATCCCCTTGCAGATTCTGCAAAAAGTGTGTTTCAAAACTACTCAATCAAAAGAAAGGTACAACACCATGAGATTAATGCACACATAACAAAGTAGTTTCTAGGAATGATTTTGTCTGGTTTTTATGTGAACATACTTCCTTTTCCACCATAGGCCTCAAAGCGCTCCAAGTATCCCCTTGCAGATACTGCAAAAAGTGTGTTTCAAAACTGCTCAATCAAAAGAAAGGTACAACACCATGAGATTAATGCATACATAACAAAATAGTTTCTAGGAATGCTACTGTCTGGTTTTTATGTGAAGATATTTCCTTTTTCACCATAGGACTGAAATGTTTTTGGTGTACTTTTTGATATTTTATGTACAGTATATAATATGTGTTTGGTGTACTTTTTGATATTTTATGTACAGTATATAATATGTATTTGGTGTACTTTTTGATATTTTATGTGCAGAATATAATATGTATTTGGAGTACTTTTTGATATTTTATGTACAGTAAATAATATGTATTTGTTGTACTTTTTGATATTTTATGTACAGTATATAATATGTATTAGGTGAACTTTTTGATATTTTATGTACAGTATATAATATGTATTTGGTGTACTTTTGATATTTTATGTAGATTATATAATTTGTATTTGGTGTATATTTGGAAATTTTATTTACAGTATATAATAAGTATTTGGTGTACTTTTGAATATTTTTTGTTCATTATATAATATGTATATGTTGTACATTTGGATATTTTATGTACAGCCTATAATATGTATTTGGTGTAGTTTTGGATATTTTATGTACAGTATATAATACATATTTGGTGTACTTTTGGATATTTTATGTACCTTATATAATATGTATTTGGTGTACTTTTTGATAATTTATGTACAGTATATAAACTGTATTTGGTGTTCTTTTTGATATTTTATGTACAGCATATAATATGTATTTGATGTAATTTGGATACCTTATGTACAGTATATAATATGTACTTGGTGTACTTTTGGATATTTTATGTACAGTATATAATATGTATTTGGTGTACATTTGGATATTTTATGTACAATATATAATATGTATTTGGTGTACTTTTTGATAATTTATGTACAGTATATAATATGTATTTGGTGTATTTGATATTTTATGTACTGTATATAATATGTATTTCATGTATTTTGGTATTTTATGTACAGTATACAATATGTATATGGTGTACTTTTTGATAGTTTATATACAGTATATAATCTGTATTTGGTACTTTGATAATTTATGTACAGTATATAATACGTATTTTGTGTACTTTGATATTTTATGTACATTATATAATACGTATTTTGTGTACTTTGATATTTTCTGTACTGTATATAATATGTATTTTGTGTAATTTCATATTTTATGTACAGTATGTAATATTTATTTTGAGTACTTTGATATTTTATGTGCAGTATATAATATGTATTTTGTGTACTTTGATATTTTAAGAGAAATATATTATATATTTTGTGTACTTTGATATTTTTTGTACATTATATAATATGTATTTGTTGTACTTTGATAGTTTAGGTACAGTATATAATATATATTTGGTGTAGTTTGATATTTTATGTACAGTATATAATACATTTGGGGTTCTTTGATATTTTATGTACAGTATGTATGATGTATTTGGTGTTTTTGGATATTTTATGTACAGTATATAATATGTTTTTCGTGTAGTTTGATATTTTATCTACACCATATAGTATGTACTTCGTATACTTTGATATTTTATGTACAGTATATAATATGTATGTGGTGTACTTTGATATTTTATGTACAGTATATAATATGTATTTGGTGTTATTTGCTATTTTATCTACAGTATATGATACGTAATTGGTGTACTTTAATATTTTATGTACAGTATATAATAAGTATTTGGTGCAATTTGATATTTTATATTCAGTATATAATATATATTTTGTGTACTTTGATTTTTGTGTACAGTGTGTAATATGTATTTTGTGTACTTTTATATTTTATGTACAGAGTATAATATGTATTTTGTGTACATTGATACTTTATGTACAGTGTATAATATATATTTCGTGTGCATTTTTATATTTTTTATACAGTATATAATATGTATTTGGTGAACTTTTTGATATTATATGTGCAGTATATAATAGGTATTTGGTGAACTTTTTCATATTTTATTTACAGTATATAATGTGTATATGGTGTTCTTTTGATATTTTATGTACAGTGTATAATATGTATTTTTGTAGTTTTTGAGATTTTATATAGAGTATATAATATGTATTTGGTGTACTTTTCGATATTTTATATACAGAATATAATATGTATTTTGTGTACTCTTTGATATTTTATGTACAGTATATAATACGTATTTGGTGTACTTTGATATTTTATGTACAGTATATAATATGTATTTGGTGTACTTTGATATTTTATGTACAGTGTATAATATGAATTTGGTGTACTTTGATGTTTTACTTACAGTATATAATATGCAATTGGAGTACTTTGATATTTTATGTACAGTACATAATATGTATTTTGTGTACTTTGATATTTTATGTACAGTATATAACATGTATTTGGTGTAATTTGATATTTTATCTACAGTATATAATATGTATTTTGTGTACTTTGATATTTCATGTACAATATATAATATATATTAAGCGTACTTTGATATTTTATGTGCAGTATATAACTTATTTTGTGTACTTTGATATTTGTTGTACAGTATGTAATATATATTTGGTGTACTTTGATATTTTTTGTACAGTATATAATATATATTTCGGGTATTTTGATATTTTACATACAGTATATATTATATATTTCCTGTACTTTGATATTTTATGTACAGTATATAATATGTATTTTGTGTACTTTGATATTTTGTGTACAGTATATAATATGTATTTGGTGTACTTTGATATTTTATGTACAGTAAGTAAAATGTATTTGGTGTACTTTGATATTTTATGTACAACAAGTAATATGTATCTGGTGTTCTTTGATATTTTATGTACGGTATATAATATGTATCTGGTTTACCTTGATATTTTATATATAGTAAATAATATGTATCGGGTGTACTTTGATATTTTATGTACACTAAACAATATGTTTCTGGTGTGCTTTGATATTTTATGTACAGTATATAATATGTATTTGGTGTACTTTGATATTTTATGTACAGTATGTAATATGTATTTGGTGTACTTTGATATTTTATGTACAGTATGTAATATGTATTTGGTGTACTTTGATATTTTATGTACAGTATGTAATATGTATTTGGTGTATTTTGATATTTTATGTACAGTACATAATATGTATTTGCTGTACTTTTTCATATTTTATGTACAGTATATAATATGTATTTGGTGTACTATATGATATTTTATGTACAGTATATAATATGTACTTGGTGTATTTTTGATATTTTATGTACTGTATATAATATGTATTTGGTGTACTTTTTGATATTTTATGTACAGTATTTAATATATATTTGGTGTACTTTTTGATATTTTATGTACAGTATAAAATATGTATTTGGTGTACTTTTTGATATTTTATATACAGCATATAATTTGTATTTGGTGTACAATTTGATATTTTATATACAGCATATAATATGTATTTGGTGTGCTTTTTGATATTTTACATGCAGTATATAATATGTATTTGGTGTACTTTTTGATATTTTATTTATAGTATATAGTGTATTCTATTTTCTTTGATATTTTATGTACAGTATATAATATGTATTAGGTGTACTTTGATATTTTTTTACAGTATATATGTATGATGTACTTTGATATTTTATGTACAGTATATATATGTATTTCATGTACTTTGATATTTTATGTACGGTATATAATATATATTTTTGTACTTTTATATTTTAAGTACAGTATATAATATATATTTAGTGTACTTTGATATTTTATATACAGTATATAATATATATTTTGTGTACTTTGATATTTTGTGTACTTTTTGATATTTGTTGTACAATTTATAATGTGTATTTGGTGTACTTTTTGATGTTTTATGTACAGTATATAATATGTATTCTGTCTACCTTTTGATATTTTATGTACAGTATATAATATGCATTTCACGTTCTTTAATATTTTATCTACAATATATTTGTTTTGCATATTTTGGTATTTTACGTACAGTATATAATATGTATTTCGTGTACTTTCGTATTTTATGTACAGTATATAATATGTATTTCGTGTACTTTGGTATTTTAGGTACAGTATATAATATGTATTTTGTGTACTTTGATATTTTATGTACAGTATATAATATGTATTTTGTGCCCTTTGTTATTTTATGTACAGTATATCATATATTTTGTGTACTTTGATATTTTATATACAGTATATCATATATATTTTGTGTACTTCGATATTTCTTTACAGTATCTAATATATATTTTGTGTATTTTGATATTTTATGTACAGTATATAATATATATTTTGTGTATTTTGATATTTTCTCTGTAGTATATAATATATATTTTTCATACTTTGATATTTTATGTACTGTATATAATATGTATTTCATGTACTTTGGTATTTTATGTACAGTATATAATATGTATTTCGTGTACTTTGGTATTTTATATACAGTATATAATATGTATTTCGTGTACTTTGATATTTTATGTACTGTGTTTAATATGTATTTCACATTCTTGATATTTTATGTACAGTATATAATACGTATTTCACATACTTTGATATTTTATGTACAGTATATAATATGTGTTTTTTGAGATACTCTTTTTGTGGAATCTGCAATTGGGTATTTCGGTCTTCTTGAGGCTTATGATGGAAAATGAAATATCTTCACATGAAAACTAGACAGGAGAATTC